>NC_000004.12:112557744-112709259 GCF_000001405.40 Homo sapiens | reverse complement strand
CTATTTTCATAACTAATTTGACTTACGAGTTGGAAAAAGTAGGTGAAACTTCTGTTAACTTATTTATCCTGTATATAAAACACAGAAAAGATACCCCTTTTCTTACAAGAAGAAGAAAAAAAGGGAAATACCTAATGCCTAACAAGCCTGAAAAGATGGCGCATTGATAAAGTTATCTCTCCCTTAGCAGAATGAACTTAAAGGTCATTTTTCCTTGTCCTTCTCATTTTTGGAAATCTAGATTTTAAGTACACTGTGTGAAGGTACTGGACCACTTTAGATATTTCATGCTACATCAGCATTTTCCAAAAGCTTTAAAAAAATCTTTGTTCAAAATATGAAGTTGTAAAAAATAACATATATAGCTTGTGATATGTAATTCTAATAATATATGAAATAATTAATGAGAACAGAAATATAGCAAATAAATGCAAACGAATTCAATCCTACAGTGACATTTTAGGTACATACAAATTAGGTATTATTTAGGCTCATTATTAGAGGAGTGATCAAAACAAAAAGTTGATAAATAACTATTTTGTCTAAATAACATGGAAAGGACCCTATAAGTAATTCAAATTTTAAATAGTTTGATGCTTCAAATACCTACACCTGCTAATGGGTAGGGTTTTTGTCCTCTTCATTTCATTATCTTTAGAACATGAAACATTACTTTATGCTGAGTAAATGTCTGTTGAATAAATGAATCCCCACACAGCATAGTTTCATTGAAATTAGTAGTTAAATATACTAATTTGCCAGCTATGTTTATATTCACCAAAAGCTTTCCTAAAATATTTTAATTTCTAAATTTCCATTATATAATTAATAGTATGACCAATAGATTTGTCAAAAATCCACATTAAAATCTTTACTCCTTTGGACTTCTGTGCTTTTCTCAATTACACTTTTTCTGAATTTTTACATGGTTCAGAAAGAGTAAAACAATTCCAATTTTAATTTAATTCCAATTCAATCCAGAATTGATTTGAAAAAGAATTACTAATGAACATGGAAAAATATGTCCAGGAAACAGTGACACAGTTAAAATACAATGTGAATGGGGCCTAAAACATTTCACCACTTAGTAGAACAACACGGTTTTCCCTTCCGTTTTTCTATTTCTAATTTGCTCAAAATCACTTTCAGGCAAATGGTGATTCTGCAGCCAGAGGTTGTCAGTACTTCTGTTCCACCTGACTGGATGAATCAGGTAGACTGGAAGGACCAATAATTCCAGCAACCTATTTCTACATCCTATGCAAATTAATGCACCAATCACTAAAACAGTGCTACTGTAAGGTCATATAAATGAAAGCCTGAACAGAGGACACCAGTCAATAACTTGAATGTTGCAGCACTATGTCATTTTACACAGCTTTTAATTATGAGCTTTTCTAAATAGGGTGTCTAGTCTGCAAAATAACAATGACCTTCCACGCACATTTTTTGTATAACTATTTTTATACGTATTTTTGCTAGATCAATAAAAGTGCTTTACAGAATAAGATTTCATAGAAATGTCTGAGTGCACATATTCTGTTTATTAATAAATTAACAAATTTTACTTCCTCAATGTTTATGTATGTGTGCATACATATATATTTAGCCAAATATAAAAATAATTTTTTGCTTAAAATATGATTTATAATTGCAAATAACAATAATTTCACCTTCATTCTTGAATGCATAACTATCACAAATACAGATTTAATGATATCTGCTATCACAATTCTTCCAGAAAATAATAAAAAAAAGAATAGCTCCAAGTGCAATTAAAAATGCATTGTCATAAAATTAGAGTCCTAGATTCTACAAGGATTTAAAACCCTAACAATTTCTCTGGGACGCAGATTGCCACAAAAACTGTACACACTACTTTTTAGTCATTGCATTAAAAAATGCCCATAAACAAAGGTTGTCCCTAATATAACACTACTTACACATATTAAAATTCAAACGTGGCAAAGACCTTGTTAGGCATCAATCAATTTTACTGTCACGTTTTCATAAATCCTGGAGTCTCCTTTATTTTTCAAAATTTCCACACTACCAGGGAGAAAGACCATTCTGTTGGGCATTATTTTCCTGCACAGATAGTATTCATCAACCAATTTTAGCCCTCTTTCTAAATAGGAATCCAATTCTCTTCGGTAAAGAGGTTTCCTATTTGCAGTCAATGGATCATATTCTCACACTCATACACTACCATGAACACAGCAAGTGCACAATCGCTACTACTGTGATAACCTAAGGTGCTGGTGCTATAGTTCCTGGCAATGGTAGCCGGGGGGAAAAAATCTAGATACCAAATCACAGATCACAACCAGATGGAGTACTCCCTTGTTTTAATATTACCATACAAACAGAAAACAGGGCTTATTCAAACAGTCAAAGAAACGTGCATTCCTCCTTGCAGTGCTGGGGGAAGCTGTTTGTGTCTCTATAGACGTGGAGAGAACAGGAACACATGTTTTCTGTACTACATGGCTAATGCAGGATACAGGGCTGCAGTTGTTGGGTGAAGCTTTGCCCGAAAGTTGAGAAATGGTGAGTAACCTCTAGATGAGGTTCCTGCTCTCCTATGGGTGGAAGTAAATGCTTCCAGCAATCCTTCTCAAGGTCCTCGGGGAGTTTGGGTCTGGGGTACCTTTCCCCCAGGGGCACCCTGGTTTCTTCTAACGGTATAGCTCTGCAGTGGGTCATGTGACAGCTGGGTGTGTGCCTCTGTGCGGGGTGGGAGGGATGAGTTTGCGGGGTGCGTGTGTGTGAGTGTGCGTGCGTTCAGAAGTTACACGTCTGGTTTTGGAAGACGTGTATTTTTCTAGGGCTATCTGCGTGTGTGTCTGTATGTGTGTCTGTGTGTGAAGTGAGACTGAGAAAAGAGGTTTAGAGAATGGTCCTGGGCCGGGCGATGTAGCCAAGTTGGCTCGTGTCGGCCCCGCTCCTAGGGGAGCCGCCGCATTGGGGTTGAGGTCCCCGCCCTTGGGGGACGCGAGGACAATGGGGTGCCGGCGCCCCTCCCGCACTTTGTGCACCCACCTGACGAATCCGCGGCGGGTTCGGCGGGGTGGAGGCCCCGCCTTCCGGGGCCGGGGAGGTGGGAGAAGCCATCTTCCTGCGGCTCCGGGTTTCTTCCTCCTGTCACGCCCGGGTCTCCCGCGTCTCCTCGGTCTCCTCCGCGTCGGGCCTGCGGCCCGCGCCCGCCCGGAGTCTCCGCAGCCGCCGCGCCCCGCGGACCCGCCCCGGCTCCTGCGCCGCAGAGTGGAAGGGGCGGCTGTGCCCTCTGCTCGCCCAGCCGAAGTCCCTCCCGCGCCACCTACATCCCGGCCGGCGGACTCGGGGCCGCGGCGGGCCGGGGTCGGACGCGACCTTGGCCGCGGGGCTGGGCAAGCAGCTGCCCCTTCCCAGCGCCGCGCCCGGCGCGTGTGCTCTGAAAGTGCGAGCTGCCGGGCTTATTCTAGCGGCGGCGCCGGGAGAAAGGAGGCTGCTTCCCTAGCCGCTGCCGCTATCGCCAGGAGAGCCATGAGCTCATGGACAGCTCCCAGAAATATGTCTATATGCACCACTGACTGCCGGAGTTCGGGAGGTGGGTGGGGAGAAGGAGGCTCCTCCGCGGGCGCTCCCGCATCACTGGCGGACGTTCCCTCGGGAGGCCCCTGGCTGTTGGGGCGCGTCCAGCTCTTCCCTGCCCATCTCCACACTCACTCTCGGCTCTTTCCATTCATGCCATACACACATTTCCTATCCGCACTCACTCTCCGCTGGAGTTGTGCTAAGGCACCCACCCACCCACCCACCCACCTCTAGCCTCCACGCGCACACATTCTTTGTTCTGCCAACTACTCCCTATTGATAAGGGGGAATTCATTTACGGAGAGAACGTGGTGTGAAATGCCACCGGGACCTCAACCCCTGTCGGATGTGGGCTGATGGATGAAGTGTCCCAAACGGTGTGTCCTTCACGCTTTGGGCGTTTCCCCCTCCCTCGAGATCCAGCCTCTTCCCTTCCCACCTTCTTCACTGTAAGAAAGCATCTTCCAGCTACCGTCCAGGGTAGGGACTTGGCCCCATCCCTCACCAAGGCAGAGAGCACCTCTTTTGTAGCTCTGTGAAGAACTTAAAAGACGGACCATGTTTTGCAGACCTTTGCGCAAGGGCTGTGGCAGGAGTCATAAATCCCGCACAGGGGCCGACCTTGTTTGCCTCACTGTTTCCCAGGGGTATAGAGCTTCCATGGATATGCAAACCACCTTCCAAACCTGATGACTGTCTTTCTTCATTGGCTCAGCTGTCCTATTGAGGTGGAATTATGGCTTTTTACAGATAAAATGACCTTCCTGAGATTGTTCCCTTTCTCAGACATCATAAATTTTCCTTTCTTAAAGATTTCCGTAGAAACATACACCTACCTTCAAAAACAAAACAAAGCAAAACTTTCCTTTACCGCAGCCTCCCTTCCCTCAGCTAGTGTTCCAGTTCTGTACATCTCCTTTCAGCAAGAGCCTTTACAAAGTTTCAGTATCTCCTGTTCCTCTCTTCACGTTCTCTATTGAACGTAGTCCATTCAGGCTTTCCTCCACCTACATCACCAAACTTTCTCCTGGCAAGGTTCCCAATTACCTCCATGCTGCGAAATCTAATGATCAATTCTCAGTCCTCCTTTGGCTTGACCTCCAAATGTTAAAAAGAAAGAAAGAGAGAGAGAAAGAAAGAGAAAGAAAGAAAGGAAGGAAAGAAAGAAAGAAAGGAAAGAAAAAAAGAAGAAAGAAAGAAAGAAAGGAAAAGAAAAAGAAGAGAAGAGAAAAGAAAAGAAAAGGAAAGAAAAGAAAAAAAAAAAGAAAGCTAGCTCCCGAGCGCGGTGGCTCACTCCTCTAATCCCAGCACTTTGGGAGGCCAAGGCGGGTGGATCACAAGGTCAAGAGACTGAGACCATCCTGGCCAACATGGTGAAACCCCACCTCTACTAAAAATACAAAAATTAGCTGGGCGTGGTGGCACGTGCCTGTAATCTCAGCTACTCAGGGGGCTGAGGCAGGAGAATCACTTGAACCCGGGCAGGCGAAGGTTGCAGTGAGCCGAGATTACACCACTGCACTCCAGCCTGGAAATAGAGTGAGACATCGTCTAAAAAAAAAAAAACTATACTTTAGTTTCCTTACCTGTGAAAGGGCAATAATATTACTTACTTTGTAGGATCATTGTGAATAGCAAATGAGATAAAGTACATAGACATTGTAAATGCTCAATGTAAATACTCAATACTGTAGTCATTACTACATTATTATGTAATATTATGTAATGATATATTACATAGATATTATGTAATGATATCTACCTAAAAACAGGAGACTGAAGATAAAGATGGTTAAAAAAGAAAACCTTTATGTCATATCAGAAAATCAAGAAAAACTTAGTGAGCCAAGTAAGTACTGATAATACTGCTATGGCTCCTGAGTGCTCTGTATCATAAGTGGGCACACAGAAATCTAAATTTATGGTCTTCAATCTCTCCTGTCCTGGGGTACATAATCCAAATTAATGAAAAAATGAACATAACAATAAAAGAATAACATTTTAAATAGATAGATAATAGGTTGATATACAGATGTTGAGATTGATAGATATGGGCAGAGATACAATGCAATATTATAAGTAGGAAAGTATTTTCTTTTTTCTGTCTTTCTTTTCTTTTTTTTTTTCTTTTTTTTTTTTTAAGTAAGTGTCTCACTGCGTCACCCAGGCTGGAGTGCAGTGGCAAGATCTAGGCTCACTGCAGCCTCGACCTGCTGAACTCAAGCGATGCTCTTGTCTCAGTCCCCCAAGAAGCTGGGACCACAAGCACACACCACCATGCCCAGCTAATTTTTGTATTTTTTGTGAAAATCGGGTTTCGCCATGTTGCCCAGGCTGATCTCAAACTCTTGGGCTCAAGCCATCTGCCCACCTTGGCCTCCCAAAGTGCTAGGATTACAGGCATGAGCCACTGTGCCTGGCCAGTATTTCAATTTTTACTTTTACAGTTCTGGAGGCCAGAAGTCCAAGATCAAGGTAACAATAGGGTTGGTTCCTTCTGAGGACTTTGAGGGAGAATCTGTTCTATGCTTTTTCCTTAGCTTCTGGTGGTTTGCTGGAGAACTTTGGCATTCCTTGGCTTGTTGAGGTATGACTCAAGTCTCAGTCTCACTTGTCGCTTGCCACAACAGTGAAGAGTGCTCCAGGAAAGGCATCATTTGGGTTTACCAGGAAACTATGCAAAATGGAGACTACTGTAGTGGTCTCTGAAGCCCTCTTGGGTGGTGGCTGTTTATCTTCCAATAGCCCTCCTTCTCTCTCAGACCCTGGGATGAGCTTCATCTTTGCTTATAACTGCTACGTCTAGACTCTTGTCCCTACCTCTTCCCCTAAAAAATCCAACTGCTTTGAAAATCATGATAGACCACCGCAACTTCTCTTTGTTACAGACATTTACATTTCCTGAAGGCCTTAAAAACCTTACTTTCTTCTTCTTCAGCAATATCCTTGTCATAATTCTTGTTAATTTTTTAAAAATCGACATAGGTCGGGTGCAATGGCTCACACCTGCAATCTCAGCACTTTGGGAGGCCAAGGCAGGTG
This sequence comes from Homo sapiens, assembly GCF_000001405.40. Classification (NCBI taxonomy): domain Eukaryota; kingdom Metazoa; phylum Chordata; class Mammalia; order Primates; family Hominidae; genus Homo; species Homo sapiens. The sequence goes on along the minus strand of NC_000004.12, from coordinate 112,702,641 downwards.
AATGATTTGATGTCAGGAGTTCGAGACCAGCCCAACCAACATGGTAAAACCCTGTCTCAACTAAAAATAAAAAAATTAGCCTGGCATGGTGATGCATGCCTGTAATCTTAGCTACTCGAGAGGCTGAGGCTGGAGAATGGCTTGGGCCTGGGAGGTGGAGGTTGCAGTGAGCCAAGATTATGCTGCTGCACTCCAGCCTGGGTGAGAGCATGAGACTCCATCTTAAAAATAAAATAAAATAAAATAAATCCACATAGACAATTAGACAATGCCCCTGTTAACCTGCAATGACTTGACCTCCACCCCACCCCAGATATACACTGTCTACTCCCATGTTCATACCCTAGGGTTTTTTATTATTGATATTTGTCCCCTCTCTATGACCACACTATCAAGCATTCCATTCTCCGGTCATCACTTACTTTCTTTCCAACTGACTTCCTATACTACCCTATCTCCAATAATTCTGTAATCCCACTAAAACCTCCAACTCTGCAGCCCTACTATCTTCACACTATCCCTACTCCATTGCACGTCCCCATCCTCCTCCTAACTCAATTTGGATTCCATGAACCACTATTATATTATTACAACCACTGCCTTGTATGTACTTCAACTTGCCTCTTTCTCCCTCTGCCATACTCACCTGGCAAAATGAAATCTCAATTATATCCATTTTTCCATCTACTCTAAGCCTGCACCCATGCAATATACACCTGGAGAAAAATGCTGAGAGGTCTCAGTGTTGCTGGACACTAATTTCAAGTGGGCCCTTGTTGGCGTGTGGTAATCCTTCATATTTCCTTAATAAATTGATTCTCCCACTTTTCAAGACAATCATTAACACATTAACAACTCTCTCCTCAAACTTCCAGTGCTGCCCCTGAATTTTTTTTTTTTTTTTTTTTTTGAGACAGGGTCTCACTCTTGCCCAGACTGAAGTGCAGTGGAGCAATCTAGACTCACTGCAGCCTCCACCTCCTGGGTTCAAGTAATTCTCATGCCTCAGCCTCTGGAGTAGCTGAGATCCCAGGTGCACGTGACCATGGCTGGCTAATTTTTGTATTTTTAGTAGAGACGGGGTTTCACCATGTTGGCCAGGCTGGTCTTGAACTCCTGACCTCAAGCAGTCAACCTGCCTCAGCCTCCCAAAGTGCTAGGATTATAGGTGTGAGCCACCACTCCTGGCCTGGATTCTTCATTCTCAACTGATGACCTTGTTATTTCACCAAGAAAACAGAGGAAGTGAAAAGAGAGCTTCCACATAGTTTCTTCACCATTATTATATTCATCTGCCCATATGCCGAATGATGCCTTTTATCTTCTTACCATGAATGAATTGTGCATGCTCTTATGAGAGGCCAAGCCCTCCACTTGGGCACTTGATCAGATCTCCTCAAATTTACTTGTGAACATCATTCTTATAAGTACTCTCCCTCCTCTCTCTCCCTCTGGCTCCCACTTTCCCCTGTATCATCTATTTTCCCTCTCTACTGGCTCGTTCCCATAAGCATACATCCCTGTCCCTCTGTAATTCCATGCTTCTGCTCCACGTATAGAAAACTTTTTCTGAAATGTAGTCTGTACTTGCTATTTCTGCCTTAAATCCACTACCTTCAGGTTCCCTCCTTACCATTTCACCAAAACTATTCTTGTCAGTGTTGCCACTCACATCCATGTTGTCATATACTTTGGTCTATTTTGTTTTGGATTTTTTTTTTATTTGGATAAATGTATGAGGGTACACATGCAATTTTGTTACATGCAAACATTGCGTAATGGTCAATTCAGGACTGTTAGGGTATCCATCACCCGAATAACGTACATTGTACCCATTAAATAACTTCTCATCCTCCAGCCCCCTCCCACCCCCTCACCCTTCAAAATCTCCATTGTCTACCATTCTACTCTCTACATTTATGTATACACATTTTTAAGCACCCACTTATGGGTGGGAACATGCAATACTTGTCTTTCTGTGTCTGGCTTGTTTCACTTAACATAATGACCTCCAGTTCCATCTTTGTTGCTTTGGTCAATTTTGGTCAGTTCTTGTCTGACTTATCTTCAAAACATATTTATTTGACATAAATTTCTTCACTTGACTTCCAGGAGTCCACACACTGTCTTGGTTTTCCTTCTGCCTAATGGGCTGCTTTTTTAAAATCCATAATCCCAGCCCTTGGACCCCTTTTCTCTGTCTATGCTCACTCCACAGCTAATCCCACATATTCCCATGATTTTTTTGTTTGTTTGTTTGTCTGTTTTGTTTTGTTTTTTGAGACGGAGTTTGTTTTTATTGCCCAGGCTGGAGTGCAATGGCGCGATCTCAGCTCACCGCAACCTCCGCCTCCCAGGTTCAAGCTATTCTCCTGCCTCAGCCTCCCTAGTAGCTGGGATTGCAGGCATGTGCCACCATGCTTGGCTAATTTTGTATTTTTAGTAGAGACAGGGTTTCTCCATGTTGGTCAGGCTGGTCTCGAACTCCCAACCTCAGGTGATCCGCCCACCTCGGCCTCCCAAAGTGCTCGGATTACAGGCGTGAGCCACCGCGCCCAGCCATTCCCATGATTTTAAATAGCATCTATAGCTGACAACTCCCAAATCAGATGTCTGGCCCTGCAGCTTCCCCTTTTGCCAACTGACTGCTCTCCATCTCCACCTAGATATCTGGGAATCTGGGAAGCATCTCAGACTAAGCATGCATAAAGCTATGTACTACTCCTCTAGCAGCCTTCTCCATCCCAGTAAATAGCAACTGTATCCTTCCAGGTGCTCACCTCAAAACTTTGGAGTCATCCTTGACTACTCTCTCTCATACACACATCCAGTCCATTAGAAAATTCTGTTGACCAAGTCTTCAAAGTATGCCCAGAACCTATTTCCCAGTCATACACCGCTGCTTAGAAAAGTCCAAGCCACCAGTCCCCTCTTTCTTGGATTATTGTAATAGTTACCTATAACTCTAACACCTATTCTTAGCAAGTCATTCAAAATTATCTCTAAATATAAACCCAATCATTTCATATCTCTCCCTAAAATCCTCTAATGGGACGGACACAGTGGCTTACATCTGTAATCCCAGTACTTTGGAGGCTGAGGCAGGTGAATTGCTTGAGGCCAGGAGTTCAAGACTAGCCTGGGCAACACGATAAAACCTCATCTCTCCAAAAAATACAAAAATTGACTGGGCACAGTGGCTCGCACCTGTAATCTCAGCACTTTGGGAGGCCAAGGCGCACAGATCACAAGGTCAGGAGTTCGAGATCAGCCTGGCCAATATGGTGAAACCCCGTCTACTAAAAATACAAAAATTGGGCCAGGCACAATGGCTCACTCCTGTAATCTCAGCACTTCGGGAGGCCGAGGCAGACAGATCACAAGGTCTCTACTAAAAATACAAAAAGTTAGCTGGGCGTGGTGGCAGGAGCCTGTAATCTCAGCTACTCAGGAGGCTGAGGCGGGAGAATAACTTGAACCTGGGAGGTGGAGGTTGCAGTGAGCCGAGATCTCGCCATTGCACTCCAGCCCAGGCGACAGTGCAAGACTTTGTCTCAAACAAACAAACAAACAAACAAACAGCCAACAACAGCAACAAAAATTAGCCGGGCATAGTGGCAAGCACCTGTAATCCCAGCTACTCAGGAGGCTGAGGCAGGAAAATCGCTTGAACCCAGGAAGCAGAGGTTGCAGTGAGCCGAGATCGCGCCACTGCACTGCAGCCTGGGTGACAGAGTGAGACTCCGTCTAAAAAAAAAAAAAAAAAAAAAAAATTAGCCAGGCGTGTGGCACACACCTGTCGTCCCAGCTACTTGGGAGGCTGAGGTGGGAGGATCACTTGAACTGGTGAGATCAAGGCTGCAGTGAGCTGAGATCGTGCCCCTGCACTTCACCCTGAGTGACAGTGCCTAAAATATGAGAGATTTAAAATACAATGCAACCCTTCTCTGTCATCTATCCTACCTATGTGTCCATCTACACAAATTCTCTAAACCTGCTCCATTCTCTTCGTTCCTAGCCTAGATGGAGATTTTTACCATCGACCAAATCACTCAAGCTAGAAACTTTAGTGTCATCCTAGACCTCTCTACATCTCTCAGGTTCTATGACTCACCACACCCAGTGAATTCTAATATGGTAGTCTCCTGCTTCTTTTTTTTTCTGTATCCTTGGCTTTAGTCGAGGCTTTCAGCCACTCTTTCAGTGTTTTGTTGTAGTTTCTTAATAATGATCCCAGAGTTCTTCCTATCCTGGAACACCCAGCAAAATTCAGCCAGAGTAACTTTCTTTTCAAAAACTCTCCCGTTTAAACAGCCCTGATGGCTTTCTATTGCTTCAGGATAAAATCTGCATCCCTTTGCTTTGAAATAAAAACCCTTCTAAATATTTATATACTTTTTGCATTAGGGAAGATATTCCTAAGACTGATCGTTATTTAAAAATTTAAAAGGCTGGGTGTGGTGGCTCATGACTGTAATCCCAGCATTTTGGGAGACCAAGGCAGGTGAATCACCTGAGGTCAGGAGTTGGAGACCAGCCTGGCCAACATGGCGAAACCTCGTCTCTACTAAAAATACCAAAATTATCCGGGCTTGGTGGCACCCGACTATAATCCCAGCTACTTGGAAGGCTGAGACAGGAGAATCACGTGAACCCAGGAGATGAAGGCTGCGATGACCTGAGATGCTGCCACTGCACTCCAGCCTCTGCGACAGGATGAGACTCTGTCTCAATAAACAAATAAATTAGAATAAATTTTATGGTTATATGTAAAATAATCTTTCAGCATTTCTTCTTTTTTTTTTGAGACAGAGTTTTGCTCTTTTTGCCCAGGCTGGAGTGCAATGGCGCATTCTTGGCTCATTGCAACCTCTACGTCACCATGTTGACCAGGCTGGTCTACATGGTGACCATGGACCCTAGCAAAGATTTTCATTGTAGCACTGGTTATAATAGATAAAACATAAATAAACAATAACAACCTGGAAATCAGCTAAATATTCTAAAAGAGAGGATTGAGTACATACATTATGAAGCTTCCACATATTGGGATGTTTTATAGAATGTTATTCAGCCATTCAAATAATATTTTAAGCAAATATTACTGGCTCCATTGTCTCTATAATAAAATTGTTTCAAGCTATTAGTTGCCCCCACCCAGGCCCCACTTTGATGACATTTCCAATTTTTTCCATAACTGGCCTTTTGAGCTGGTTTCCTTCTGCCGTTCACTCATGTGTGTTCCTGCCGTTCTCCCTCCTCAGAAGACAGTCTTGCCTGTGACTCTGGCTTTATATATCCTGGGTTCCATCTGCGTAGAACGCCTTCACCTCTCTTCTTCACCTGACTAGCATCTGTGCAAAATTGAAAGGGGTAATAAATCTCTTTACAAAACAACAACAACAACAACAACAGCTAATGTTTTTTGTTTGTTTGTTTTGTTTTTTATTTATTTTTGAGATGGAGCCTTGCTCTTGTCACCCAGGCTGGAGTGCAATGGCACAATCTTGGCTCACTGCAACCTCTGCCTCCTGGGATCAAGCAATTCTCCTGCCTCAGCTTCCCGAGTAGCTGGGATTACAGGAGCCCACCACCATGCCCGGCTGATTTTTGTATTTTTAGTAGAGACGGGGTTTCGCCAAGTTGGCCAGGCTGGTCTCAAACTCCTGACCTCGTGATCTGCCTGCCTCGGCCTCCCAAAGTGCTGGGATTACAGGCATGAGCCACCACGCCCAGCTGGGTAATAAATCTCTAAAGAGAATTGGGCCCACTCCCAAATAAACATTTCAAATCAATATAAATAAGGTCCAAAACAATCTTAATACTAATCAACTAAAAGGGTAGGAGTTTCAGCTACACAGAACAAATCAATAGTCTGAAATTTAGATATTCTAGCTTAAATGGATCTTGAACCAAGTTTTATTCATATTAAATATAGACTGATTGTCAGGTGGCTGATGTTCAATGCTTTTCACATTAAGACTCCATCCTTCCTTTCCAACTTTATTTCCTGTCTCTTCTCTACATAAACCTTTCTTCAGCTGAATCAGTCTACTCAATCTTAAATAAAATCCCAAATTTATTCTATCTTCTGCCAAAAGCATGATTGGATTTTCCTGTACTTTTGCTATTACCTCATCCTAGGATAATTTACTGTCTATAGCAACCAAATAATATACATAATACTTGTATATTACTTATATAATATATATGTAGTACTTGTATAATACACATAATACTTATGCTGTATTGTATAGTTATTATTATTATTATTTTTGTTTTATATATATTTTTTGAGACGGAGTCTTGCTCTGTTGCTAGGCTGGAGTGCAGTGACACGATTTTGGCTCACTGCAAACTCCACCTCCTGGATTCAAGTGATTCTCCTGCCCCAGCCTCCCAAGCAGCTGGGACTACAGGCACACACCACCACGCCCAGCTAATTTTGTATTTTTAGTAGAGATGGGGTTTCACCATGTTGGCCAGGATGGTCTCGATCTCTTGAACTTGTGATCCGCCCGCCTCAGCCTCCCAAAGTGCTGGGATTACAGGTGTGAGCCACCACGCCCGACCTATTATTATTATTTTTGAAGACGAAGTTTCGCTCTTGTTACCCAAGCTAGAGTGCAGTGGCACGATCTCAGCTCACTACAACATCCGCCTCCTGGGTTCAAGTGATTCTCCTGCCTCAGCCTCCCTAGTAGTTGGGATTATAGGCACCCACTACCATGCCTGGCTAATTTTTGTATTTTTAGTAGAGACGGGTTTTCTCCATGTTGATCAGGCTGGCCTCAAACTCCTGACCTCAGGTGATCCCCTGCCTCTGCCTCCCAAAGTGCTGGGATTACAGACATGAGCCACCGCTCCTGGCCTATTGTATAGTTATTTATCTTTTATGCATATGTCCTATTTCCCAGTAGCTATGTTATTAACATCTTCATGTCAGGGGGGTATCATATGCTTACTTATAACCTTAGCATATGTTCTATGAATATAGGCATTAAATAAATGATAATTGTTTATGATTTGAGGAAATCACAAATGGAAAGAGCACTAGAACTGGGCATTTTTTTAACATAAGCACTTTAAAAAAGAATTATTTTTCTCCTTTTTCAGTCTTTTTTGGCTTTTTCAAACTAATAGAATTTATAGAGCAGCCAAATTTGGAAGAACACATTGGTCTTTAGGTGACAACATGTTGCTACCTTATTGCCTGAAGTTATTACAGACATTTTCTACCCTCATATTTACAAGTATGTCCCAATGTTTTACAAAATTTTATTAAAATTTTACATTGCTATTAAGCTAGAATTTTTTTTTGTAGAATTTTAATTATAAAGGTAGTACATGCTCATGGTAAATAGCATACAAACATTACAGAATTACATATAAAATGGGCTGTGTGCATGGCTCACACCTGTAATCCCAGTACTTTGGGAGGCTGAGGAAGGCAGGTAGCTTGAGCCCAGGATTTCAAGACCAGTCTGGGCAACATGGCAAAATCCCATCCCTACTAAAAATTAAAAAATTAGCTGGGTGTGGTGCATTCCTGCAGTCCTAGCTATTCGGGAGGCTGAGGCGGGAGGATCATCTGAGCCCAGGGAGATTGAGTCTTCAGTGAGCCCTGATCATGCCCCTGCACTTCAGCCTGGGCAGCAGAGTAAGACCCGTCTCAAAAAGAAAAAAAAAAAAAAGAAAGAATTACACATAAAGTGAAAAATAAGTGTCCTTCACTCCCTATTCCTGTAGTCCCATGCCCCAGAGGTAACTACTGTAAACTGCTTCTTTTTTATCCTTTCAAAACTCTTAGCACATGTATTTGCAAAGACAAGTGTATTTTGGGGATTATATTATACATGCTACTTGACAAGGTCCTTTGTTTTAACTTTACAATATAGCATGTTTCCATATCAGTAAATCGACTTCATTTTTATAATATTTGATACCCTACAAAAACCTTACATAACAAATATATAATAATTAAAATATTATATGAAACATGGTGGCTCACACCTGTAATCTCAGCACTTTGGGAGGCCAAGCCTGGAGGATCACTTCAGCCCAGGAGTTTGAGGTGAGCCTGGGCAACATAGCAAAACCCTGTCTCTACAAAAGTTTTAAAAATTAGCCAGGCATGGTGTCATACCACTGTGGTCCCAGCTATTCAGGAGGCCGAGGTGAAAGAATCGCTTGAGCCCAGGAGATGGAAGCTGCAGTGAGCCATGATTGCACCATTGCACTCCAGCCTGGGCAACAGAAAGAGACCCTGTCTCAAACAAAAACAAAAACAGAAAATAACAACAACAACAAAAATATGATATGATGACACAATATTGATATAAAGAAACTATGGATTCCTGACATTTTTTATTGAGTTGAGGTTTTTATTGAGGTAATTGTAGATTTACATGCAGTAGTAAGAAATAACACAGCAAGATCCCTTACACACTTTGCCTAGTTATCCCCATGTTAACATTTTACAAAGCTATAGTGTAATACCATAACCATGATATTTACGTTATCAATCCACTAGTTTTATTCAGATTTTTCCAGTGTTACTTATACTCATTTGTCCCTGCTTGCAAGTGTGTGTGTACTAAGTTCTATACAATTTTATCACCTTTGTAGATTCGTGTATCCACCTACCACAGGCAAGTTATTAAACAGTTTCAACACCTGGAGGACCTCGTGTTGCCCTTTTATAAACACTTCTTCTTAAACCTTGGCATCCATTTTGTCCATCATTTCTAAAATGTTATCATTTCAGAACTGCAATATAGGTGGATGCCAACATGATCCCCATGGAGCTACCATAGCTAACGGTGCCTACGCCACCAGGAGCGTCTAACATGGGCACGGCTAAGGCTAACCACTGGGCGTGGCTGCTGGTGCTCAGATTCCTGTTTGGGTGCAGTGTCCTTCAGATCCTACTCCCGTCCTTCTCTTTTATGTCCAGGGTGCAGCGCAAGGATGCAGAACAGGAGTCGCAGACCAAAGCAGAGATCCAGGATATGAAGCAAGAGTTATCCGCGGTCAATATGATGGACAAGTTTGCCAGATCTGCCAGGCTGGAAAGAAAGATCAACAAGATGATGAATAAGCTCAAAACTCATGTGAAAGTACAGACAGCTCAATCAGGAATGCTAAAATGGGTTATAAGTGTTGCTTTCTACAAATTGCCAGGTACCGTGATCAGGCTATAAGGCAGTCTTGTGGGGTTATCCATTACTTGACAGGGTCTCGCTCTGTTGCCCAGGCTGGAGTGCAGTGGGCCATCTAGGCTCACTGTAGCCTCTGCCACCCGGGTTCAAGTGACCTTCCCACTTCAGCCTCACAAGTAGCTGGCACTAAAAGTGCTTGCCACCATACCCGGATAATTTTCATATTTTTTGTAAAGACAGGGTCTCACCATGTTGCCCAGACTGGTCGCGTTTTCTTCCTCTGTTTAAAATGGCATTTGTTGGACAAGCATTTGTATAGTACTATGTACTTACTTGAAGCTGTTAATTTTTCATTACAATGTTTTGTAAATTTCTTCATGAGGCCATAATGCATTGTTTTGTGCTCAAATTTTGCATTGTATTTAAAGCATTCAAGTGAAATATATTTTATATAACATTTAATATTTATGCTCTGTTGAATGGAAAGAGGTAAAAAACAAATTTAGGAAGCCTGGTTAAATTAAACTGAACTGAAACCTGTTTGGCCCATAAAGCATAACTCTGCTAAACCTATTTTTTATACACATTTTTCTAATTAAAATTTTTGCAAGTGCTTCTGTGACTTTCTTCCCTACAGCCACTTATTTGCTATGAGGAGTCTGTAACTGACAAGTGTTGCAGAGGGTTTGCCCATTAACTGAGTAACCATAGCACAATAAAGCTAAATTCTATCACTAGTTTATAAAAGATCATATTTGTATTCTTGTGTTCCCTCATGATTGAATAAGTAGCTCATTATTATTTTGGCTAAGTGCTGCAGTCCTTTAGTTTATTGTCATGCTGTAGACCACCAGAGTGGATTTCAGGTTCCACTTATTCAAGCTCACAGATACCACGGGCTTAGTCAGCACCAAGTTTAGTTTCCAGAAAGGACACAGGACAGGGAACACAGCAGCAGCGCCATGGAGGACCTGGCACCAGTTTCCCGTGTCTCATCACCACACAGGATACATTTTGGCCACAAAGGATGAGAAGCCAAACTAAGGTGATTACAGCAGCGTATGGAAGCTGCAGTGTCTATGGTCCTTAGATAAAACTTAGCACTTGGAGGACACGTGCCTAACTCCTTTCATTTATTTATTTATTTATTTATTTATTTATTTATTTATTTATTTACTTACTTACTTACTTATTTATTTATTTTTGAGACAGTCTTGCTCTGTCGCCCAGGCTGGTGTGCAGTGGCAGTCTTGGCTCACTGCAACCTCCGCTTCCCGGGTTCAATTGATTCTGCTGCCTCAGCCTCTCCAGTAGCTGGGATTACAGCCACACACCACCATGCCCAGCTAATTTTTGTATCTTTAGTAGAGACGGGGTTTAACCATGTTGGCCAGGATGGTCTCAAACTCCTGACCTCAGGTGATCCACTCGCTTCAGTCTCCCAAAGTGCTGGGATTACAGGTGTGAGCTACCGCTCCCTGCCCATTTTTAGTTAGCTGTTGTTTAGTGGTTAAACAACAAATAATTGGCAGCCAGGTACAGCATGCCCAGGGCCAGCTTTGCATCACTAATCAGTATGAAGTATTCCTGACAAGACTCTTATCTCCTAACCACATATCCCTTCAGTTGTTACCAAAAGAATTTTGACAAATCTCACTGAGACTAGAGAAAAAGATTTATAATTCACAGCTGTTCACTGATTCCAAATACATTAATAGTCTGTGAAGATTAAGTAGGAAGATTAAATAAGGAAAACTTAAATGTCTTTTATGTTTTATATCATTGTGTCTTTTTGAAAATTGTATTTATTTTAATGTAATTTTATTTTATTTTCTGAGATGGAGGCTCACTTCGTTGCCCAGGCTGGAGTGTAGTGGCACAGTCTCGGCTCACTGCAACCTCCACCTCCCAGGTTCAAGTGATTCTGGTGCCTCAGCCTCCCGAGTAGCTGGGATTACAGGCGCCTGCCACCATGCCCGGCTAATTTTTGTATTTGTAGTAGAGACGGGGTTTCACCATGTTGACCAGGGTGGTCTCAAACCCCTGACCTCAGGTGATCTGCCTGCCTCGGCCTCCCAAAGTGCTGGGATTATAGGCGTGAGCCACCGCATATGGCCTGTATTTATTTTTAAGTAGATAATTAACATGGTACTAAATTCAAAAGATACAGAAAGGAATACAGTAAAAAGTGAGTCTCCTGACCCTCTACTGTTTTGTCACCAAATTTCCCAAGGTTTCTGTTATTACCAGTTTCTTATGATTCTTCCGATAATATTCCATGCATTTATGAATATTAATATATGTGCTTTTTTTTTTTTGAGACAGAGTCTTGCTGTATCGCCCAGACTGGAGTGCAGTGGCATGATCTCAGCTCACTGCAACCTCTGCCTTCCGGGTTCAAGCAATTCCCTGCCTCAGCCTCCTGAGTGGCTGGGATTACAGGAGCCTGCCACCACGCCTGGCTAATTTTTGTGTTTTTAGTAGAGACGGGGTTTCACCATCTTGGCCAGGCTGGTCTTGAACTCCTGACCTCGTGATCCACCTGCCTCGGCCTCCCAAAGTGCTAGGATTACAGGCATGAGCCACCACACATGGCCCTTAAAATAAATTTTTAAATTATCAAAGTAATATCTCGAAAATGTTATATAAATGGAATCATAGAATATGTAGCCATCTGAGATTGGCTTTTTTTGTTCAGCAAAATTCCCTGGAGATTCATTCTAGTTGTTGCATGCATCAGTGGTTCATTCCTTTTTATTGTAGAGTAGTATAAATTAGAATTTTTTTTCCTTTAATAAACAGGTCTTGCTATGTTGCCCAAGCTGAGTGCAATGGCTATTCACAGGCACAATTGCACTACTCATCAGCGGGAAAGTTTTGACCTACTTTCTTTCCAACCTGGGCCTGTTCACCCCTACCAAGGTAACCTGGTTGTCCCCTGCCCTCAGGAAGTCACCATGTTGATTCTGAACTTAGTGCAGACAAGTGATTGGTATAGCACACTGCAGCCCTCCTAGTCTCAAGGATTCTCCTTATTGTGATAGAAGATGCTGTGGTGTCTGGTATGAAGATTCTAATTTAGACAGGCCTATTGTCCCAGCTACTGTGTTAACCTCAGACACCACAGCATCTTCTTTTTCTTTTCTTTTTTTTTTTTTTTGAGACGGAGTTTCACTCTTGTTGCCCAGGCTGGAGTGCAATGGCATGACCTCAGCTCACTGCAGTCTCTGCCTCCCAGGCTCAAGCAATTCTCCTGCCTCAGCCTCCCTAGTAGCTGGGATTACAGGCATGTGCCACCATGCCTGGCTAATTTTGTATTTTTAGTAGAGATGGGGTTTCTCCATGTTGGTCAGGCTGGTCTCGAACTCCCGACCTCAGGTGATCTGCCTGCCTCAGCCTCCCAAAGCGCTGGGATTACAGGCATGAGCCACCGCGCCCAGCTTCTTTTTTTTTTTTTTTTTTAGACAAAGTCTCGCTCTGTCGCCCAGGCTGGAGTGCAGTGGCACAATCTCAGCTCACTGCATTCTCCGCCTCCTGGGTTCAAGCGATTCTCTGGCCTCAGCCTCCCGAGTAGCTGGGACTACATGCGCGTGCCACCATGTCCGGCGTATTTTTTGTATTTTTAGTAGAGACAGGGTTTCACCATGTTAGCCAGGATGGTCTCGATCTCCTGACCTCATGATCCGCCTGCCTCAGCCTCCCAAAGTGCTGGGATTACAGGCGTGAGCCACCGCTCCCGGCCACAGCATCTTCTATAACAATATATTTTAAGAAACTAAATACAGGCTGGACACGGTGGCTCACACCTGTAATCCTAGCACTTTGTGAGACCGAGGCGGGCAGATTACCTGAGGTCAGGAGTTCGAGACCAGCCTGACCAACATGGAGAAAATCTGTCTCTACTAAAAATACAAAAAATTAGCCGGGCGTGGTGGCACATGCCTATAATCCCAGCTACTCAGGAGGCTGAGGCAGGAGAATCGCTTGAACCTGGGAGGTGGAGGTTACGGTGAGCCAGGATGGCGCCATTGCACTCCAGCCTGGGCAACAACAGCGAAACTCCATCTAAAAAAAAAAAGAAAGAAACTAAATACAAGTGACTGTAAGAGTCAAAGATTGCATTGAAATTAATATGGGCCTACTTTTGCATTCAGGAGTGTAATGGTAACTTCACGTGAATATGGCCCCGGGGTGAAGCCCAGGACAGTCTTTCGAATAGGAAATGTATAAAGTTAGGAAATACCACTGTGTTTGTATGTATTTTAATCATTTGGTCAACACTATTTATGTTGACCTTAAGGAACAAGAATAGTAATCCTAGATTGAATGAAACCTCTAGAAGAGGCTTCTGACCTTCTTCTCCACTGGGATAATTTCCATTTCCTCAGGGCAGCATGCTTGGTACATGAAGAGCCAAAGTGAAAACCAGCTAATTGAGTAGGTCAAAAGGGTAAAGTACTCTTCTATGGACTTGCTCTGGTGTTTAGAACAACTTCCTTTTGAAGGACAAATTCATCTTAGTGGATTAAGATGATATTGCCTATTCAGAGGAGTTAGGAAACTGTGAAGGAAAAGGACAGATGAGGAAAACTGCAAATTCAGGACACTTCGAACCTCACAATTGTTTAAACAGCTTTGTAAAAAGCTTCAGGAAATGTGAGATAGTACTCTGTCAAGAAGCACTTTTCCTTTTTTTTTTTTTTTTTTTAATTTTTTTGAGGCAGGATCTCACTTTGTCACCCAGGCTGGAGTACAATGGCACATCTAGGCTCACTATAGCCTCGACCCCCTGGGCTCAAGCTATCCTCCCACCTCACCCTCCCAAGAAGATGGAACCACAGGCATGTACCACCACGCCCGGATAATTTTTTGTATTTTTGGTGGAGACAGGGTTTCACCATCTTGCCAAGTCTGGTCTCGAACTCCTGAGGTCAAATGATCTTTTTTTTTTCTTCTTTTGAGTAGGAGTCTCACTGTATCACCCAGGTTGGAGTGCAGTGGTGTGATCTCGGCTCACTGCAACCTCTGCCTCCCGGGTTCAACAGATTCTCCTGCCTCAGCCTCCTGAGTAGCTGGGATTACAGGCGCGCGCCACCATTCCCGGCTAATTTTTGTATTTTTAGTAAAGACGGGGTTTCATCATGTTGATCAGGCTGGTCTTGAACTCCTGACCTGAACTCCACCTGCCTTGGCCTCCCAAAGTGCTGGGATTACAGGCATGAGCCACTGCGCCTGGCCTTCAAATGATCTTTCTGCCTCAGCCTCCAAAGTGCTAGGATTACAGGTGTGAACCACTGCACCCGGCCAAGAAGCACTTTTCTAAAAGAGGAAGCTAGAATATAAAATTATTCTACAAATATATATATATAAATTCTGGCCTAAGTGCAGTGGCTTGCATTTGTAATCCCAGCTTCTCAGGAGGCTAAGCCAGAAGCATGGCTTGATGCCAGAGTTCAAGACTGCAGTGACCTATGACTGTGTCACTGCATCTCAGCCTGGGTGACAGAGCAAGACCCAGTCTCAAAAAAAAAAAAAAAGGAATTTTGCCATATGATAGAATGTCTTTCTTTCAAAGTATTAGCTTTTGGTGAGATCATGGAGGGAATATGAGGAGAGAAAATAATGTTAGACATAGGTTTTTAGATGGGAAAATGTGTGTTTGACCCCTTATGATTTTTAAAATTAAAATATGATCTAAGGATCTGTAAATGGGAGCAGAATATTTATACCCAACTAGGAAAATTTGAATAGCAAATTTCATTGGTTTGCAGATGGTACATAAATGTGACTTTGCAAAAATAGATCAGAGAGAACAGGAGAGAAATGGAGAGTAATTTATTCCAGTGACAAAGAAAACAATGTCTAGACCCCATAACTAAACAATTGTTTTCCTGTTTCTGCTAAAAGTACTTTATATGTTAACTTTTAAGATAATTACCTCAATATTTTATTCAGTTGAGCATGCAAGGAACATTTTAGTTTGTGTCCTTTAAAGTTTCTTTCCTTCGGCTGGACGCAGTGGCTCACACCTGTAATCCCAGCACTTTGGGAGGCCCAGGCGAGCGGATCACCTGAGGTCGGGAGTTCGAGACCAGCCTCACCAACATGGAGAAACCCCGTCTCTACTAAAAATACAAAATTAGCCAGGTGTGGTGGCACATTCCTGTAATCCCAGCTACTCGGGAGGCTGAGGTGGGAGAATCGCTTGAACCCGGGAGGCGGAGGTTGCGGTGAGCCGAGATCACCCCACTGCACTCCAGCCTGGGCAACAAGAGCAAAACTCCATCTCAAAAAAAAATTAAAAAATAAAAAATAAAGTTTCTTTCCTTCTCTGTGCTCTTTTTTTTTTTTTGAACCATGCAAATGGAGATATGAAGAATAATAAAGCTAAAAGACCAGGATGAGGATAAAACATACCCCAGAAGTCAACTATTCAGACCCATTAAGCGTTTCAAACTCTGTGTGTCCAAAACCAACTTCAGCTGCTTCTCTGTGTTTTCACATGAAATCTAGAATTTTAGGGATTATCCTAATCTCCTTCTCTCCCTCCAATCTTCCCCACAACAGTCATTGAATTCTCCTCATACCAACTTCTTTTGTAGTACTTCCCTTCTCTGTCTTTGCATTTGCCACTATCTTTATTCACACTCTCACCATCCTCCCGGTCCCACTTACCCCCTCATTTTAAAGATGGACTAGGACTTCCTGAGTGGTCTTTCTGACTCTGATCCTATGATCTATCCTAGAATGATCTTTCTAAAACAAAAATCTAACCAGGTGGCACCTCTCCTTCCACTCCAAGTATTCAGTAAATGCTTGGATTGGATACACTGGATTCAATAAAATCCAAATTCTTCAGTTTAATACACAAAGTTCTTCACAATCTGGTCCTGGCTTGTGGCTTCTGCCTCATGACCAGCCATTCCAGCACTACACACAGGGTCCTGAGTATGTCTTACTCTTCACCACCACTTTGCCTTCAAATATCTTGCTCCCTATTATTCAAATGCTTCCCTTACTTTTATGAAACACAGCTCAAGATCCCTCTTCTGGGCTCTGCTACCCCCAGCCCCACCCCACACCAGTCTACTTTATTTATTTTATTATTAATTAATTCATTTATTCATTCATTTATTTTTGAGACAGTCTCGCTCTGTCACCCAGGCTGAAGTGCAGTGACGTGATCTTGGCTCACTGCAAACTCCGCCTCCCAGGTTCAAGCGATTCTCCTGCCTCAGCCTCTTGAGTAGCTGGGATTACAGGTGCCCACCACCATGCCCAGCTGATTTTTGTATTTTTAGTAGAGACGGGGTTTCATCATGTTGGCCAGGCTGGTCTCGAACTCCTGACCTCGTGATCTGCCTGCCTCAGCCTCCCAAAGTGCTGGGATTACAGGCATGAGCCACCGTGCCTGGCCTTATTTATTTATTTTTAATTAGGAAGATGATTTATTTCTGCTCCTTTCATATATCCTATTGTTCAGGAAACAGTCTTACATACATATCTGAAATAATCTACCATCACACACTCTAGTTAAAGGCAAAGCACCATAGGTAAAGCTGATAAGCTGTCCAGAGTTCTCAGCTTATGGAACCTTGCTTCTTAATTTTATGTTAATTTCTGAAAATCAGAAATGTCATCTCCAAAAAATGTTAAGGGGGCTGTAAAAAATAATTATTTGATATTATAGTTGTAGATATGGAGTAAGAAATGAAAAACTAAGAAGAAAATGCCACTAAACATAATTGGTATAGCAATAGGACAGCAGGAAAAAAAGATACTGTAATAAAATTGTCTCTTTAATACCAAGAAATTCTAGTCCAAGCTTCAATACGCTTCCTGTTTTTATCACTGGATATTTCTTTTACTGCTGCTCTTCATTCTTTTCCACATGTCATATTAGAGGATTGGTACAGTCTTTAAAACTTCATTGACAGGAGCAAATCCAGTATCCACTGATTTCTTCTCAAAGGCACTCTAACCCATCAGATAGCCCGGCAGTTTCATTCTCATGAATACTCCAGCCATGAAAAAATTTAATAGGACACAGACAAATCCAATGACTAGAAGAAGAAATCTATTGAGTTTGGGGATCTTTGGTGCACTCAATGGGTCCAGGATTATGAAACTTAAACCTCCCATGGTAAACAGGAAGCTGGATGCAAGTCGTTCCATAATATATTGTCCATTTACCCTGTAGACCAAGAAAGGTACTGGCCTCTGATACCCATGTTCATCAGTCATAGAGCCACACTTGGAGGTTCAACAATAACAACATAAATTATTCCTCCAGTGATGAGGAAGTAAGATACCGTCACCAGAGCATACACAGTCATGGCCGATGGTATGTGCAGCCAGGGCGGCTTCTTCAGCTTCAGGTTGGGACATTTAAGCACTAAGAATGGGACACGGTACAAAGTCTCCATGTTGGTGGCAGCAAGCTATTTATTTATTTATTTTATTTTTATTTTTATTTTTTGAGACTGGTCTTACTCAGTTGCCCAGGGTGGAATGCGGTGGCACGATCTCGGCTCACTGCTAGCTCCGCCTCCCGGGTTCACGCCATTCTCCTGCCTCAGCCTCCCGAGCAGCTGGGACTACAGGCGCCCACCGCCATGCCCGGCTAATTTTTTGTATTTTTAGTAGAGACGGGGTTTCACTGTGCTAGCCAGGACGGTCTCTATCTCCTGACCTCGTAATCCGCCTGCCTCGACCTCCCAAAGTGCTGGGATTACAGGCATGAGCCAACGTGCCCGGCGTACTATTTGTTTATTTTTAAGACAAGGTCTTGCTGTGTCACCCAGAATGGGGCGCAGTGATGTGATAACGGCTCACTGCAGCCTAGACCACCTGGGCTAAAGACATCCTCCCACATCAGCTTCCCAAGTAGCTGGGACTATAGTTGCATGTCACCAGGCCAGCTAATTTTTAAATTTTTTGGTAGATACAGGGTTTTGCCATGTTAAAAATTTCTCTCTTTTATGCTCTTATTTTACCTATATTATGCATTCTTTCACTTACTCAATAAATACTTTTGAGTACCTACTATGTGTCAGGCATTGTACTATACTGTCACTCTACTGTGATGATTTACATGTCTCCCCCCTACTTGAACATAAGCTCCCTAGATACACATTCCATTTAAATACAGTAATGAATGGGTGAATGGATGATGGATGGATGGATGGATAGATGGACGGATGGATGCATGGAGACTTTTGATGGTAGCTAACAGGGTTCCTTACAAGCTCCTATATGTATACATTTATACATATTTTATATATTATATAAATATATTTATATATTTATATAATATATATATTTATATTTTATATAAATATATATAAAAATATATAAAAATATATATATATAAATATATATAAATATATATTTATAAATATATATTTATAAATTTTTATAAATATATATTTATATACATATTTATAAATATATATATAAATACTTATAAATATATATATTTATATAAATATTTATAAATACATATTTATATAAATATATAAATAATATATAAATATATAATATATAAATAATATAAATAATATATAAATATATATAAAACTATCTATTTAAATATATAAATATATTATATAAATATAACTATATATTTTTATATATTTAAATATATATTTTTATATTATATATATATATTTTTTGAGACAGATTCTCGCTCCATTGTCCAGGCTGGAATGCTATGGCGTGATCTCAGCTCATTGCAACCTCTGCCTCCCGGGTTCAAGCAATTCTCCTGCCTTAGCCTCCCAAGTAGCTGGGATTGCAGGTACCCACCACCATGCCCAGCTAATTTTTTTTTTTTTTGTATTTTTAGTAGAGACAGGGTTTCACTATGTTGGCCAGACTGGTCTTGAACTCCTGACCTCAGGTGATCCACCCGCCTTGGCCTCCCAAAGTGCTGGGATTACAGGTATGAGCCACCGCACCTGGCCCAAGATATTTTTATATTAATTATTGTAGGCGGGGTGTGGTGGCTCATGCCTGTAATCCCAGGACTTTGGGAGGATGAGGCAGGCGGATTTCCTGAGGTCAGGAGTTGGAGACCAGCTTAGCCAACATGATAAAATCTCGTCTCTACTACAAATACAAAAATTAGCTGGACGTGGTGGTGCATGCCTATAATCCTAGCTACTTGGGAGGCTGAGGCAGGAGAATTGCTTGAACCCGGGAGGCGGAGGTTGCAGTGAGCCGAGATCATGCCATTGCACTGCAGCCCGGGCGACAGTGTGAAACTCTGACTCAAAAAAAGAAAGAAAGAAAGAGAGAAATGTTCCTACATACAATGATTTTTTGTTTGTTTGTTTTTTGAGATGGAGTCTCACTCTGCCACCCAGGCCAGGCTGGAGTGCAGTAGCAGGACCTCAGCTCACTGCAATCTCTGCCTCCTGGGTTCAAGCAATTCTCCTGCCTCAGTCTCCTGAGTAGCTGGGATTACAGGCACTCGCCACCATGCCCGGCTACTTTTTTGTATTTTTAGTAGAGACGGGGTTTCACCATGTTGGCCAGGCTGTTCTCAAACTCCTGACTTCGTGATCCGCCCGCGTTGGCCTCCCAAAGTGCTGGGATTTCAGGCGCACCCGACCGTATGTAGGAACATTTCTAAGATGTATTAGAACCTCTCTGCCTTCTAAAAACACCAGGACCATTTGGCCCTACTAAATGACACTTTACTAATGTTCTTTGGAGGGCTTGAGTTTTCCTTTAAAATTTTTGTTTTCTTCCGTGCTGACAGGAAATCACTTGTTGCTTAATTGTCATTGATATGCCACCTGAAGCAGCTGATTTTCCTCTAACACCATTCTGATCTGTTATAAGGTTGGAAGCCACATCATGAGAACTGCTGTAACTTCATGCAAAATGCAAACCAATAGATTCAGAATGAGGCCCTGAAGATTCTTATGAGATTGGTCTTGTCCAAACACTTGGGGGTTGATTAAAGAAAAAACAATTTTTTTTAAAAGAGAATAGTCTTGAATCCAGGGCACCGAACTTTATGACAACTATTTTTCCTACTCAGAATAATTCCTTACTTCCTGATTCTTTGGGCTCTTGACAAATGTGGCATTAATATGTAAAATGTAGTACCATTTTAAAAACTAGAGTCCACAAAAGGCTAGGCCTTACAGTGGCTCATGCCTGTAATCCCAGCATTTTGGGAGACCAAGGTGCGAGAATCGCTTGAACCCAGGATTTCAAGACCAACCTGGGCAATGTAGCAAGACATGATCTCTACTAAACATTAAAAACAAAAACAAACAAACAAAATACACTAGCCAGGCATGGTGGTGTGCGCCTGTAGTCCTAGCTACTCCAGAGGCTAAAGCAGGAGGATCTCTTGAACAGGGGAGTTTGTGGTTGCAGTGAGCTATGATCATACCAGTGCATTCAAACCTGGGTGACAAAGCAAGACCTTGTCTCAAAAATAATAATAAATAAATAAAATCCACAAAAAGAGGAATTAATATTTGAACATGCACCTATATAGGAAATAGTGATAAGATATGGTATTGTGAAAAGACACATTTTAAATTCTATTTGATTTAAATATCTGGCGTAATCTATGGTACTTTTTAGTAAATGAAAATAACATGAGCTTGGGAATCAGATGAACCCAGGTCCAAAATTTTGTTCTGTCCATTTGGGTGACCTTTGTGTAACTTAGCTATTTTCCCTTCATTTTCGTCTATAGAATCCCTAACCTGAAAAATTGAGATAAAAACACTTTTTTTCTTTCTTTTTTTTTGAGATGGAGTCTCTCTGTGTCGCCCAGGCTGGAGTACAGTGGCGCAATCTCAGCTCACTGTAACCTCCACCTCCCGGGTTCAAGTGATTCTCCTGCATCAGCCTCCCGAGTAACTGGGATTACTGGCGCACACCACCATGCCCAGCTAATTTTTGTATTTTTAGTAGAGACAGGGTTTCACCATGTTAGCCAGGATGGTCTCCAACTCCTGACCTCGTGATCCACCAGACTCGGCCTCCCAAAGTGCTGGGATTACAGGTGTGAGCCACTGCGCCTGGCCCCAAAACACTTTTTTTACTGAATTGTTTGCAAATAGATTAAGATAGTAATTTAAGAGCAGTTGCTTATTTGGCACTTTCTATTGCAGAAATGAGCTAAAATAAGATAGGGTTATGTATCAGTCATTAAAGAGATAACACTAACCATCTCAACAAAATCATTAATGTTTTACTGGGCAAATCTTGTGATCTTTTTCAATTGTATGCTATCAGTGCCCTCTGTGATCTTTGCTCACCTGTGATTACAGCTTTGCTCATCCTCCTGTCATGAGATCTCCTCTACTATGAGTGGCAACGAACTCTTCCCTAGACCATCAGGTCACTCTTACAGAGGGTCTTGGGTTATCTTCCTGTGTGAAGCAAGCTAAGGAAATGATGTGGGGTGGTTCCCAGCCTCTGACCACTGAGCTGCTCCAGCCACTAACAACGTTTTGCTTTTTATTTTTTTATTTTTATTTTTATTTATTATTTTTTTGAGATGGAGTCTTGTTCTGTTGCCCAGGCTGGAGTGCAGTGGTGCAATGTCACCTCGCTCCAACCTCTGCCTCAAGGGTTCAAGCAATTCTCCTGCCTCAGCCTCCCGAGTAGCTGGGGTTACAGGCATGTGCCACTGCGGATAATGTTTTGCATTTTCAGTAGAGATGGGGTTTCACCATGTTGGCCAGGGCCAGGCTGGTCCCGAACTTTTGACCTCAGATGATCCACCCACCTTGGCCTCCCAAAGTGCTGGGATTGCAAGCGTGAGACACCATGCCCAGACAACAACGTTTTACTTTTAAAATTCTGAGTGTGTCGTAAGCACTTTGTTGTATCCATTAACAAACTCAATCATATGAGACAGATAGCATTTTCTTAATTAACTGATTTATTATATATATACACATATTTTTTTTTAAGAGATGGGGACTCCCTCTGTCATCCAGATTGGAATACAGTGACATGATAGATCATAGCTCACTGCAGCCTTGAACCCCTGGGTTGAAGCAATCCTCCTGCCTCAGCTTCCCCAGTAGCTGGAACTACAGGTGTGCGCCACTGCACCCAGCTGACAGATACTATTATTATACATACTTAACAGATAAGAAAACTGAGGCAGAAGTTTGAGTCTGTGCTGTCCAATGTCATATCCATTAGCTCATGTAACAATTGAGCTCTTGAAACATGGCTTGTCTGGGCCAGGCGTGGTGGCTCACGCCTGTAATCTCAGCACTTTGGGAGGCTGAGGCGGGTGGATCACTTGAGGTCAGGAGTTCAAGACCAGCCTGGCCAACATGGTGAAACCCCGTCTCTACTAAAAGCACAAAAATTAGACAGGTGTGGTGGCAGGTGTCTCTAATCCCAGCTACTTGGGAGGCTGAGGAACAAGAATCACTTGAACCTGGGAGGCAGAGGTTGCAGTGAGCCGAAATCTTACAACTGAGATCGTACCACTGCACTCCAGCCTGGGTGATGAAGTGAGACTCTGTCTCAAAAAAAAAAAAAAAAAAAAAAGGCGGCTTGTCGGAATTGTGATCTAAGTGTAAAGCACACACTAGATTTCAAAGACTTTAAACTATCTCATTAACATTAGTTTACATTAATTATATGTTGAAATTTTTTGGATATATTGGCTTAAGTGAAATACATTATTAAAATTAATTTCACCTGTTTCTTTTCACGTTCTTTAATCTGGTTACTAGAAAATTTTAAATTAGCCAGGCGCAGTGGCTCACACCTGTAATCCCTGCACTTTGGGAGGCCGAGGCGGGTGGATCACAAGGTCAGGAGATTGAGACCATCCTGGCTAACACGGTGAAACACCGTCTCTACTAAAAATACAAAAATTAGCCAGGCGTGGTGCTGGGCACCTGTAGTCCCAGCTACTTGGGAGGCTGAGGCAGGAGAATGGTGTGAACCCGGTAGGTGGAGCTTGCAGTGAGCCGAGATCACGCCATTGTGCTCCAGCCTGGGCGACAGAGCAAGACTCCATCTCAAATAAAAAAGAAAAGAAAATTTTAAGTTAGGCTGGGCGTGGTGGCTCATGCCTGTAATCCCAGCACTTTGGGAGGCCAAGGTGGGTGGATCACCTGAGGTTGGGAGTTCGAGACCAGCCTGACCAACGTGGTGAAAACCCATCTCTACTAAAAATACAAAAATTAGCCGGGTGTGGTGGCACATGCCTGTAATCCCAGCTACTTGGGAGGCTGAAGCAGGAGAATCGATTGAACCCAGGAGGCAGAGGTTGCAGTGAGCCGAGATCATGCCATTGCACTCCAGCCTGAGCAACAAGAGCAAAACTCCACCTCAAAAAAAAAAAAAAAGAAAAATTTAAATTACTTCTGTGTCTCACATTATGCTTCTATGGGACGGAGCTGGTTTAAGCAAGTTGCCCAAGGTCAACCTGCTAGTGTCAGCGGCAGAATTGGGACCAGGTGGTCTTGAAATATCGGCATTATAAATTAATGTTAACCATATATTAAAATATTTTAATAATGCAATTAACATATTCATAATTTAGTATGCAAGGTACATTATGGTAATTATACCAGATGTCTGGTAATTCTTATAGTACAGCTAGGCTTAACACATTATTTTAAAACAATTGGACATTTTGGAACCTTTCGTCTTTCAAAGTTGAGGTTAAGAAGGAAATGAAGATAGGGTGTCCTTATTACAATCTTTGAGATAATTTAGAGAGGAGAACGTATCATTAATCTTTTGACATTATTTGTGTCCTAGTTTTCTTTTCTTTTCTTTTCTTTTTTCTTTTTCTTTTTCTTTTTCTTTTTTTTTTTTTTGAGACGGAGTTTCACTCTTGTTGCCCAGGCTCAAGTGCAATGGCTCCATCTCGGCTCACCTCAACCTCTGCCTCCTGGGTTCAAGCGCTTCTCCTGCCTCAGCCTCCTGAGTAGCTGGGATTACAGGTGCATGCCACCATGCCCGGCTAATTTTGTATTTTTAGTAGAGAA
Organism: Homo sapiens; assembly: GCF_000001405.40. NCBI lineage: Eukaryota > Metazoa > Chordata > Mammalia > Primates > Hominidae > Homo > Homo sapiens. Next base: position 112,678,478 of record NC_000004.12, on the reverse strand, counting down.
GGGGTTTCTCTATGTTGGTCAGGCTGGTCTCGAACTCCCAACCTCAGGTGATCCACCCACTTTGGCCTCCCAAAGCGCTGGGATTACAGGCGTGAGCCACCGCGCCTGGCCTGTGTCTTAGTTTTCAAAAAATTACTTTTATAAGGCATTAATCTTATGTGCTGCAGAGGAAAAAAAAATAGGAAAAGCCCTTGTTTTAATAGAACTTATATTCTGGCCATTGGGTATGAGAGAACATAGATGTTAAACAAATAAATATACATAATATCAGGTGGTTATAAGGGCTATGAAGAAAAACAAAGCAGAGTAAGAGGACTGAGAATAACAGGGGAGTGAACGGGGGAAATGGTGCTATTTTTAATAGGAGAATCTAAGAAGTCCTCTCTGATATGGTGACATTTGCAGAGGACCTAAATGAAGTGATGGAGCAAGGCTTGCAGTTATTTTGGGGAAAAGCATTCCAGGCAGAAGACAAACAGGTGCAAAGAACCTAAGGCAAGAACAAAAAGCTAATGTAGTAGGAGTGCTGTGATCGAGTAGAAGATGAGGTCAGAGGATATGGGGTGGGGGTGGATACACAGGCCTGATGGTCCACTAGAAGGACTTTAGACTTCCTTTTGCTTGACACTGAAAGTCACTGGGGGTTTTAGAAGAGAGGAGTGATTAAGTTCTGTCATACTCTGCCTGCTTTATTGAGAACAGGTTGTAGGGGTCAGGAACAGAAGTAGCAGTGCCAGTTAAGATGCTATTGCAATGGTCCAGTTGAGCAAGCATGGTAGCTTAGACTATAATGGTACCAGTGTTCAAGGTGAAAGAGGTCAGATTTGTGTTGTTTATGAAGGGAAGGCTGACGAAATCTGAAAATGGATTGGATGTGAGGCATGGGGAAAAGATAACCAAGTGGCCTGAATGCACATGACTATCTTATTTCATCTGTTCATTTGTTCATTTATCCTTTCAGATATTTATTTATCAAGTATTTCTGCATGCTAGCAGAATGCCAGTAAATGTGGTACATGCTGAGATGATAAGAGCAGAGAACACTTTCAGTTTAGTGGATTTTAGAAGCATATATTTCAAGAACATTTTTTTCTGATTGTACTATTCACTGAAGATATTTTTAAGAGAAAAATAAAATATAAAGAAAAATTAAAATCTCCACCAAGGTATTACAATCTTGAAATATTTATTTATTTATTTATTTATTTATTTATTTATTTATTTTTCTGACAGGGTCTCACTCTGTCACCCAGGCTGGCGTGCGGTGGCACCATCACGGCTCACCGCAGCCTTGACCTCCCAGGCTCAGGTGATCCCCCCACCTCAGCCTCCTGAGTAGCTGGGATTACAGGTGCGCACCAGCACACTCAGATAATTTTTGTATTTTTTGTAAAGATGGATTTTCGCCATGTTGACTAGGCTGATCTCGAACTCCTGGGCTCAAGTGATCCGCCTGCTCAGCCAAGTCTGCTGGGATTACAGACGTGAGCCACCACACCCAGCCAAAACCTTGAAATTTTAACATGTATTCATTTCACTTTGAAATTCTTAACATATTATTTCTTTTGATTTATAATTTATGTATTATCTAAGATATATGTAACATAATATAATTGGAATCATACTTTATATTCAGTTTTGCACCTGATATTTTTATCCCTCAATATGGTTCTCTTAACATGTCATTTAAATTTTTTTTTTTCTTTTTTTGAGACAGAGTCTTGCTCTGTCTCCCAGGCTAATTTTTGTATTTTCTTTTTTTTTTAGAGACGGGGTTTCACCGTGTTAGCCAGGATGGTCTCAATCTCCTGACCTCGTTATCCGCCTGCCTCAGCCTCCCAAAGTGCTGGGATTATAGGCGTGAGCCACCTCGCCCGGCCTTTTTTTTTTCTTGAGATGGAGTTTTCACTCTTGTTGCCCAAGCTGGAGTACAATGGCACAATCTTGGCTCACTGCAATCTCCGCCTCCTGGGTTCAAGCGATTCTCCTGCCTCAGCCTCCAGAGTAGCTGGGATTACAGGCATGTGCCACCAAGCCTGGCTACTTTTGTATTTTTAGTAGAGATGGGGTTTCTCCGTGTTGATCAGGCTGGTCTCGAACTCCCAACCTCAGGTGATCCACCCACCCCGGCCTCCCAAAGTGCTAGGATTACAGACGTGAGCCACCACACCCAGCCAACTAATTTTGTATTTTTAGTAGAGACGGGGTTTAACCATGTTGGTTAGGGTGGTCTTGAACTTCTGACCTCAGGTGATCCACCCGCCTCGGCCTCCCAAAGTGCTGGGATTACAGACGTGAGCCACCAACCCCGGCCTGATTTTACTTCTAAGGTAACACAAATCTTTTAAAAATCATAGGAATACAGAAAGATAAAAATTGGAAAAACTGTTTACTCAGTCCCACCACTCAGTCACAGTCGCTGCTAAACTCCTGGTGGATCTCATTCCAGTAATTTTTTAATGCTCAGATTATTTTTATTTTTTTAAAAAACTTACTTGTATTTCTACTATAAATACAATTTTGTATCCTGACTTATTCACTTAACCTTTCTCCCCATAAAGTTTTCATGAACATACCTTTTTGATGACTATAAAAATTCTATGGAATAAATGAATAGATGAAGAAATGAAAGAAATCCTCAGCTGTAAAAGAAGGATGCAGATGGTGATAATGGTACCTTTCTTGGCAGTCAATTTAAGGATCAGTAATGGAGTGTTTAGCACAGCATCTTGCACATTGTATGTACAATAGATGAGAGCCAGTTTTACTAACTCTCTTACCTAATTTCTTTCATCTGTTCATTTATTCATTTTCTGTGGAATTTACTTGGATATTAATATGATCTATCTTTGACTATTGTTGGCCCATCCATCACAGAGTTTAATTAAGTTGATCTGTCAAGCTAAGTGGATGTCTTACTCTGTCCTCAGCACTCCATGAAGTTCACTGCACAGACTTTCCCAAAGAGCTAAGGTGGGTTTACAGAAGCCTCCATGCCAGATCCTCTATAGATTTTCCTTAACTATTCACCTATTGTTTTGAGCATCTGTAATAATATCTTGGTGCTGCATCTGTCCTAACAGCCTTTCCAACTTATTTGTCGGCTTTTCACCTTAAATATTGGTAAGTAATCATTTATGCATATTTTAAAATTAAAAATAATCTTTCATAATTATTAAAAATGCAACATCTGTTTACTTAAGAATGTTATAAATAGGCCGGGCTCAGTGGCTCACGCCTGTAATCCCAGCACTTTGGGAGGCTGAGGCGGGGAGACCACCTGAGGTCGGGAGTTCAAGTCCAGCATGACCAACATGGAGAAACCCTGTCTCTGCCAAAAATACAAAATTAGCCGGGCGTGGTGGTGCATGCCTGTAATCCCAGCTATTTGGGAGGCTGAGGCAGGAGAATCACCTGAACCTGGGAGGCAGAAGTTGTGGGGAGCTGAGATTGTGCCATTGCACTCCAGCCTGGGCAACAAGAGCGAGACTCCATCTCAAAAAAAAATCCAAGCAACAACACTAACTCCTAGTATATGCCATTTTGTATCCTTTTTTTCTATGTACATGTATGAATATATGTCCCTTGAACTTCTCCTGTACTTGTCCGTGTTGCTTGTCATAAAAAAATGGAGAAAAACCAAATTTTTCATTTTGGAAAAAAACAAATGCAGCATCCTTGAACTAAAGTTTCATATCTTTGTGATGTTTTTCTCAGAGGTGTTTAGGAAGCCTTACCTATTCAGTTTAGGGGACAGAAAACAAAGTGAGGGAAGGTTGATGCTGGATGTAAAAGGAAGTGGAAAAAGAAAGTCAAGGTTAAAGGGGAAGGACAGGTTTCAGAAGCACATGTGTCTTCTTACTGGGTCCTCAGCTGCTGTTGCTTCTCATCTTGCATCTGGACCCCTGCCCAATACCAAGTGCCTGCCCTTTACCTCCCTCCTCCGTCCTGCCCTTGAGACCCACAATAAGACATGCTAAGTCTCAACTCCCACTCTTCCATACTAACCCTACAATAAAAATGCCCAAGACATTCCAGCTAGTGCTGATTTCTTAGGGTTGCTAGTAATCAGTATTGCCTTAGGGAGCTTTCTTGTGTTTGGGCAACATTTTTGCCTCAATAAAAGATCAAAGAGATCTCTTGCCATAGTAATACACAATTTAAATGGTTTAATTATGTTTAATGTTCCACAGAACAATGAAACTGTATATAGACTGTATGCTTGATATTGGTATTCTATTTTTTTTCCTTAGTGATTCTTGCTGTGATCTATTTTTTTTTTTAATGTTACCATTTGTGCTGGTAAAACATGGGCTTTAATGTCAGATAAACTTGAAATCTTACACCTAACTTCACTTAACTTCATTAGTTGTAGGAACTTCATCAAACAATTTTACTTCTCTAAGCTTCAATTTCCTTAGGCAAAATGGGACTAACAATACCTAACTCCAATTGTAAAAGTTAAATGAAATAATATATTCCAAAGGATTAATACGGTGCCAGGGAGATAGTTTTTTAAGCCTTTGTTTCTTATCAGACCTAGAATGCTGTCTCATGGGTATTTGTTGCAAGTGAATTAAATAGATAAGCACATAATAAACATGAGTTCAATTCTTTGCCAGCATAGATATCTGAGAATTTTTTCAAGGGAGAGAGAACACTCCCTGGTCTTTCAACACAGAAAAATGGTGCCCAGTGCTGTCATTCACTTACACATATCCCAGGTTATGGAGTCTACTTGAGGGCATGGCAAAGAAAAAAAAAGGACTGAGAATTTCAAAGAATGACCAGTAGAACCCAGACCCAGGAATTTTCCAGCATGCTGCCATAGAGCCAGCATGATTGAATTGACAGCAAAGTTATATCAGACTTTGCATTAGTCATCAGTGTCAGAGACTCTCAATATAAATCTTGGTTCCAGCAAAGAATTTAGAAAGGGAAAAATTGCCCTCACCCTAGAAGGAGCTTAAGATCCAGGAGAAGGAATCCATGCACATAGCATTGAATGCATATGAGGTGCTAAAGTTGGTCAGCATTTTTTTAAATTGTGATTTAGCAATGATGGTTTCCTCTTTAATGATGAGTTTACAGTAAGAATAATATTTCTGGAACAATGTAATCTAAAACTTTTTCTTATTTTACCTCTTGTCACTAAAGAGTAGCTTAACTCCCACATCACCAGCAAAATTCAGAGCACTGCATGGCTGCTCTTGTCTGTAGGCAGGGGAAGAGAGAAAGTGAGGTGATTTCAGGAGGAAGACATCCCTACCAAAAAGTTTCTTCCTATCCCTGAAATTATGTTTCAGAATCTCCTTGTAAAATGTTTATCACAGAGCCTGCACATATTAATTGTTCAATATAAGATGGCTGTTTCTATTACCATTATATTACACATAATAATATATATATAGTCATTATTTTATCTCTACAACTTTGCAGTCCTGGAAAAGACCATACTTTAAGCTGTTTTAGACCATGTCATTCTGCTCAAAACCTTCCAATGGTTTCTCGTCTCCCTCAGAATCAAAATAAAATTTTTTTACAGTGAGCCCCAAGGCCCTATATCATCTGAACTGCAGCACTCTGGCCTCATCTCCTACCACCCACTCCCTTGTTCATGCCACACCATCTATGTTGAACTCCTTATTGCATCTCAACAAAGAAGACACACTCACACCTCAGGGCCTTTGCACTTGCTATCCTTGGGCCTGAAAGTCTTCCCTCAAACCCTACTACAAATAGCTCCCTATCTCACCTCCTTCAGGTTTTTGCTCAAATGCTATCTTCTAACCAAGACCACTCCAGGTTAACTACACTTGCAACATCACACACACCATCCCTTTGAACTCCCTATTACCTTTTTTGTTGCTGCTGTTGTTGCTGTTGTTGTTTTTTGAGACAGAGTCTTGCCCTGTGGCCCAGGCTGGAGTGCAGTGGCACAATCTTGGCTCACTGCAACCTCCACCTCCCGGGTTCAAGCCATTCTCCTGGCTCAGCTTCCCGAGTAGCTGGCATTACAGGCTTGCACCACCGCACCCCGCTATTTTTTTTGTGTGTGTGTTTTTAGTAAAGGCGGCTTTCACCATGTTTGCCAGGCTGGTCTCAAACTCCCGACCTCAGGTGATCCATCTGACTCGGCCTCTCAAAGTGCTGGGATCCCAGGCATGAGCCACCGTGCCCAGCCCCCTATTACTCTTTGTACTAGTCAGGGCTCTCTTAGAGGGACAGAACTAATAGGAGATATATATATATATAGGAGTTTATTAAGTATTAACTTACACGATCACTAGGTCCCAGTATTAACCATCACACCCTTCCTCTTTTTATTTTTCTCCATAGTCTGTATTATCATCTGATATAATCAATATGTATATATGTATTCATCTATTTATTGCTATCTCCTGACACTAGAGTAAAAGCTCAGTGAGGGTAGATATATTATTTTGTTACTGATGCTTGATCCCTGATAGTTGCAAGTTAAATATTGGCTGAATGAATGAATGATACCGCTATCTTGTAATGGAAGATTTCGGAAAGTATTTTAATAACCATACAACCATGTGGGGGATATGAGAATCAGGGTGACACCACCCAAGGAGGTAAAGGGGTCAGAATAGAGAAGTCCTAGAGGTCTGAAGACAAATTTATCTATTTGATCATTTTGTAGAGAGCTAACCCTCTTCACTGGGTCAGCAACAATAGTGCATTAGTTTTGGCAATTGAAGAAAACCTAAACCTCATCTCAGGAATTCTATTGCTTTTTAAAAACCCATTTGTGGCCAGTTCTCATTCATGTTAATAGATCTCTCCTTTTCCTTTAAGGGCAGCAAAGCCAAAAAAAGTTACTTCAAGGGCCCAGAAAGGAACAACTAGCTAAATATAGACACATCATACTGTATGAAATAAAGACTGTGTAAGTCTGCCAAAATAAGATCCCATCAATGAGGAACATATTATGTTGTTCCTAGTTTCAACCTTGACATAGGAAAGTTTAAGAAACAGATTTGTAATTCTCTATTGCTTATGTAATAATTAGAAATCTTAAACGATCTGGTATTTGGACTGTCCTTTCAAAGAGCAACCTAGATATTTAAAGGCAGGGACTGGGACTACGTGACTCCAGACAAAAATATACTGTATCATACTGGAAGCTATGTATGCCTTCCCAGCTGCCGCAAGAACATTTGTCATGTGGTGACAGCATTCTTCTCACTTCTGATAGCTCACACACTCTCAAACTAGTATGCGTGCCCTTTGCTTTAGTTTCTGTGTCTTTGTGAAGTCAGTTTTCAAGAACCTTTGAGGACAGAACAACATAAGCAAGGTCTTAAGTCTCCTATTACTTTTTCAGACCACTGTAAAGTTAAGGATAAAATCAGTAGAGATTACATGTCAATGATAGGTAGTTTGAGGCTAGAGGTATGATGAAACCAAACACTTTAGGTGTGTGCAGAGTCTCACAATGCCAGGATTAAACATTAGCTTTGGATAGTAAGTAAAGCAGTCATTAAAAAATTGTTCTGGGGCCAGGCGCGGTGGCTCACGCCTGTAATCCCAGCACTTTGGGAGGCCGAGGCGGGCGGATCACGAGGTCAGGAGATTGAGACCATCCTGGCTAACAAGGTGAAACCCCGTCTCTACTAAAAACATAAAAAAATTAGCCGGGCGTGGTGGCAGGCGCCTGTAGTCCCAGCTAGTCAGGAGGCTGAGGCAGGAGAATGGCGTGAACCCCGCAGTGAGCCGAGATCGCGCCACTGCACTCCAGCCTGGGTAACAGAGCAAGACTCCGTCTCAAAAAAAAAAATGCCCTGGAAAACTTTATTTTATTTATTCTATTTTATTTTTGAGACAGAGTCTTGCTCTGTCACCCAGACTGGAGTGCAATGGCGCTATCTCGGCTCACGGCAACCTCCGCCTCCCGGGTTCAAGCGATTCTCCTGCCTCAGCCTCCCAAGTAGTTGGGACTACAGGTGCCTACCACTATGCCTGGCTAATTTTTGTATTTTTGGTAGAGACAGGGTTTTGCCATGTTAGTCAGGCTGGTCTCGAACTTCTGACCTCAGGTGATCCACCCGCCTAGGCCTCCCAAAGTGCTGCAATCACAGGCGTGAGCCACCGCGCCCAGTTCTGGAAAACTTTTAATTATAGCTCTCTCTCTCTCAGTGTAGATAAGTTAGACAGGAAATAATTCTATTTTACAAGATGGTGATATTTTTACATAGAAGCTGTAGAGGAAGAAAAATTAAGTGTAAACAGAGGGGAGGTACTTTGGAGGCAGACAATAGGTTAGCTCACAAGGGAATACGATGTGGGGCTTAAGCAAGAAGAAGCCAAATGATATGCAATAATTTGTTCCACATAGTTAGCATCAGAGAAACACTAGAGCAGTGATCCTCAAAGTGTGTCAGCATCACCTGGGAACCTATTAGAGATGGGAATGCGCAGTTCCACCCCAGACCTATTGAATCAGAAACTCCTGGGATGCAGCCAGCAGGCTTAACAAGCCCTCCAGGTCATTCTGATGCATGCTACAATTTGAAAACCGTTGAACTAGTGTATTCTATGCCTTAGTGCAGTGGTTCTCCAGCATTAAAGAGTATTAGAATAATTGCCTGGTAATGGATTTACCTCTGATGCCGCGTACAGAATAGGTGCTTTAGAGCCAGGCACAGTGGGTCATGCCTATAATCCCAGCACTTTGGGAGGCTGAGGTGGGAGGATAACTTGAGCCCAGGAGTTCCAGACCAGCCTGGGTGACATAGTGAGACCCCTTCTCTACAAAATACTAAAAAATTAGCCAGGCATGGTGGCACATGCCTGTGTACTCTCAGCTATTCTGGAGGCTGAAGTAAGAGAATTGCTTGAGCCTGGGAGGTCGAAGCTGCAGTGAGCTGTGATTGCACCACTGCACTCCAGCCTGGGTGACAGAGCAAGACCTTGTCTAAAAAAAACAAAGAATACATGCTTCATCAATTCTTGTGGACTTGTGGAAGAAGGGAAGGGAGAGGGAAGAAATATACTCCTATATATATATACCAAAGAACCAGAACTCACAACTTTTGTCACTCATCTCTTAAGTTTTCTTTTTCTTTTCTTTTTTTTTTTTGAGATGGAGATTTGCTCTTGTTGCTCAGACTGGAGTGCAATGGCGCGATCTCGGCTCACCGCAACCTCCACCTCCCAGGTTCAAGTGATTCTCCTGCCTCAGCCTTCCCAAGTAGCTGGGATTATAGGCATGCGCCACCAAGCCCAGCTAATTTTGTATTTTTAGTAGAGATGGGGGTTTCTCCGTGTGGGTCAGGCTGGTCTCGAACTCCCAACCACAGGTGATCTGCCCACCTTGGCCTCCCAAAGTGCTGGGATTACAGGTGTGAGCCAACACACTCGGCTTTATGTTTTCATTTTTATTATATTCCAACAAATTTACAGGATAAAAGTCATCTTCATCTCTAGTACAATTTACATTGTACAAAGTAAATGTACACAACAGATATTTTACTGAGTTGAAATCAGTGTATTATTTTGTGATATTTTTATTTTGTGTTTATTTTTTATTTATGCTTTATAAATGATTTGAGGCTTTTGCTTTTTTTCACTTGGCTTATGTACACATTTCCATGTATCAGTTTATCCACATGCTTGTCTTTTTTTTTTTTTTTTTTTTTAGACAGGGTCTCACTCTGTCACCCATGCTGGAGTTCAGTGGCGAGATCTTGGTTTACTGCAGCCTCCACCTGCCAGGCTCAAGCAGTCCTCCCACCTGAGCCTCTGGGAATAACTGGGACTACAGACATGTGCCACCACGCCTGGCTAATTTTTGTATTTTTGTAGAGACGAGGTTTCACCAATGTTGCCCAGTCTGGTCTCAAACTTTTAGACTCAAGTGATTGGCCTGCCTCAACCTCCCAAAGTGCTGGGATGACATGCATGAGCCACTGCTGGTCATTTTTATGCTTTACTATTTTTCTGCATGTTTCTTTTTCAATGACTTATTAAACAACTAAATTCTGATTTTTATGACAAGCAGTGGTAATAACATCTGAATCTTCTCTTGAAGACAGCATTGAGTGCCATTACGTGCTAAGTTCAGCTCAGATAACAAAGAAACAAAGGATCAGTCCCAGTTCTGTTAGAGACAATAGTCACTTGAAGGAGTTAACAAGGACCGCATTAAGAAGCACCACAGAGCTTAAGTGATTAGAGAATAGGAAGTCAATAAGTGGTCAGAAAGGTATGTCTCCCTGAAGAAAATTAAATTTTGGATCGACACTGGGAGGAAGTGATGGATACAGATTGGCAGAGAGTAGGAAAGACATTTCAAGTTTTTCTTTCTTTTTCTTTTCTTTCTTTTTTTTTTTTTTTTTTTGAGACAGAGTCTTGCTCTGTTGCCCAGGCTGGAGTGCAGTGGCGTGATCTCGGCTCACTGCAACCTCTACCTCCCAGGTTCAAGCGGTTCTCCTGTCTCAGCCTCCTGAGTAGCTGGGATTACAGGCGTGCGCCACCAAGCCTGGCTAGTTGTTGTATTTTTAGTAGAGACGGGGTTTCAATTTCACCATGTTGGCCAGGCTTGTCTCAAACTCCTGACCTCAGGTGATCTGCCCACCTTGGCCTCCCAAAGTGCTGGATCACATGTGCAAGCCCACTGCACTGGGCCCCATTTCAGGTGTTTCTAAGGGCCTAAAGAAAGGAACTAGCGCAAGGCGCAGTGGCTCACGCCTGTAATCCCAGCACTTTGGGAGACCGAGGCAGGCAGATCACAAGGTCAGGAGTTTGAGACCAGCCTGGCCAATATGGTGAAACCCCGTCTCTACTAAAAATACAAAAATTAGCTAGGCGTGGTGGCAGACGCCTGTAGTCCCAGTTACTCAGGAGGCTGAGGCAGGAGAATCACTTGAACCCGGGAGGCAGAGGTTGCAGTGAGAAGAGATCATGCTACTGCACTCCAGCTTGGGTGACAGAGTGAGACTCTGTCTCAAAAAAAAAAAAAAAAAAAAGAAAGGAACTAGCTAGTCATGTGCTGTGTGCTATCTGACAATTAACTTGGCTTAAGAAGAAGATCATGTTAGCGAATAACAAAAAATGAGGTTAGAGAGTTGACAGTAAGCACAGAACCCTAAGCCTAGAGATATGGCAACCAGTACACAGGGAAATAATATATTCACAGATGAGGAAGTGATGTGATAAAAACTACAGCATCGTATGAAAAAATCAAAAACAAAAACAAAAGCTGACACCCCAAATTAATATGGCTATAAGAAGTAAAATCCATGGGTTTATTTTATTGGCAATAGAAGCTATTTAAAGCAAGATGCTCTGTTGCCCAGGCTGGAATGCAGTGGCATGATCTCGGCTCACTGCAACCTCCACCTCTTGGGTTCAAGTGATTCTCCTGCCTCAGCCTCCTGAATAGCTGGGACTACAGGCGCATGCCACCACGTCTGGCTAATTTTTGTATTTTTTTTTATTTATTTATTTAAAATTTTTTGAGACGGAGTCTCACTCTCTTGCCCAGGCTAGAGTGCAGTGGCACAATCTTGGCTCACTGCAACCTCCGCCTCCTAGGTTCAAGCGATTCTCCTGACTCAGCCTTCCACACAGAGGGAATTACAAGCAAGCACCACAACGCCTGGCTAATTTTCGTATTTTTAGTAGAGACGGGGTTTCAACATGGTGTAGTTGCATGCACCTATAGTCCCAGCTACACAGGAGGCTGAGGTGGGAGGATCACTTGAACCTAGGCGGTTGATGAGCTATGATAGCACCACTGCACTACAGCCTGGGCAACAGAGCAAGACCATGTCTCAAAAAAAAAAACCTTACAGCTAGGAAAACGGAGAAAAGGACGAAAAGAAGTGAAGAAAAGGAAGGAAGGTGAGGGGAGGAGAAGAGAGTATGATATTTATTAATTAATTTTTATTTATTTAATTGTTTTTAGAGACAGGGTCTTGCTCTGTCACATAGGCTAGAGTACAGTGGAGTGATCATAGCTCACTGCATCCTCAGATTCCTGCTGCCTCAGCCTCCTGGGGAGGGGGGACTACAGGCACACAACACCATACCCAGCTAATTTTTTAATATTTAATTTTGTAGACATGAGGTTTCACTCTGTTGCTCAGTCTTTATTTTATTTATTTATTTATTTTTTGAGACAGAGTCTTGCTCTGTCTTCCTGGCTGGAGTACAGTGGTGCAGTCTTGGCTCACTGCAACCTCCACCTCCTGGGTTCAAGGGATTCTCCTGCCTCAGCCTCCTGGGTAGCTGGGACTACAGGCACGTGCCACCACACCTGGCTAATTTTTTGTATTTTTAGTAGAGAAGGGGTTTCACCGTATTAGCCAGGATGGTCTCAATCTCCTGACCTCGTGATCCGCCCGCCTCAGCCTCCCAAAGTGCTAGGATTACAGGCGTGAGCCACTGTGTCCGGCCTCTGTTGCTCAGTCTTTCTAAAACTCCTGGCCTCAAGCTTTTTTTTTTTTTTTTGTATTTTTAGTAGAGATGGGGTTTCACCGTGGTCTCGATCTCCTGACCTCATGATCCGCCCGCCTCGGCCTCCCAAAGTGCTGGGATTACAGACGTGAGCCACCGCGCCCGGCCTTTTTTTTTTTTTTTTTTTTTTTTTAGAGATGGTGTTGTAGGCTGGAGAGTATAGTAGTTTAGCTTGTATGAGAACGTCTACTTAATTGAGAAAACGGGAATACGCTCTTCCTTGACTCCTTAGTTGTCTTTTTTCCTTTTTTTTTTTTTTTTTGAGATGGAATCTTGCTGTGTCACCCAGGCTAGAGCGCAGTGGCACCATCTTGGCTCATTGCAAACTCTGCCTGCCGGGTTGAAGTGATTCTCCTGCCTCAGCCTCTCCAGCGGCTGGGACTACAGGCATGCATCACCACACCTGGCCAATTTTGTATTTTAAGTAGAGGCGTGGTTTCACCATGTTGGTCAGGCTGGTCTCAAACTCCTGACCTCAGGTGATCTGTCCGCCTCAGCCTCCCAAAGTGCTGGGATTACAGGTGTGAGCCACTGCTCCTGGCCAACTCCTGATTTTTCACATTCTTCTCTAGAATGAACATCAAAGTACATTTGAGTGTGATGTAGGGTTTAAAGATTCACATTTTTCCTTTGAAATGACCCTTACGCATATTGTTGTCCAACTAAAGGAATACGGACCATTCTAATAATGGTGGGAAAATTGGCTCTGTTTGGGTTTAAAGAATACATTTTTCCAGCGAGGCATATTTTCTCAGGATAAATTTCACTATTTGGTGTTTCTCCTTGTTGCTGGCTTCAGCACCTAACTCTGACATCTGGGATGAGTCTGTTTGTTACACTTGTCCTGTGACTTTGGGCAAGAGAACTGAACAGCTCTGTCTCTCCTTCCTTCCTTCCTTCCTTTTTATTTTGTTTGAGACAGCATCTTACCCTGTCACCCAGGCTGCAGTACAGTGGTATAACTACGGCTCACTGCAGCCTCAAACTCCCTTGGCTCAGGTGATCCTCCCACCTCAGCCTCCCAAGTAGCAAGTAGCTGGGACTACAGGCGTGTGCCACCATGCCTGGCTAATTTTTATGTGTTTTTGTAGAGATGAGGTCTCACCATGTTGCCCAGGCTGGTCTCGAGCCCCTGGGCTCAAGTGATCCTCCCATCTTGGCCTTGTAAAGTGCTGGGTAAACAGGCATGAGTCACCATGCCCAGCCTGTTTCTCATCTGTAACAAGAAGGAATATTTATTAGATGATGCTCATGTGTCTTTTTGTGCATGAAAGTTTTGATTCTATGATTATTCCTAGTGCAGTCCTCCCTTTCCAGAAAGAATCTGAACTTTTGGAAACATCAATAGAACTATTTAACCTAGGGCTGGGCACAGTGGTTCACACCTGTAATCCCAGCAATTTGGGAGGCCGAGGTGGGCAGATCACCTGAGGTCAGGAGTTCGAGACCAGCCTAGCCAACATGGCAAAACCCCGTATCTACTAAAAATACAAAAATTAGGCGGGCGTATTGGCGGGCGCCTGTAATCCCAGCTTCTAGGGAGGCTGAGGCAGTAGAATCCCTTGAACCCAGGAGGCGGAAGTTGCAGTGAGCCAAGATCATACCACTGCACTCCAGCCTGGGCAACAGAGAGAGATCCTTTCTCAAAAAAAAAAAAAAAAGTTTAAGCTAGTTAGCCCATCCTCAGGTTCTCCAACTTCAAGAGAGAAGAGAGATTTTATTTCCTATTTAAGTCACAACAGTAAGCATAAAGGATGACAATTATTTAATATTGTGATTCAATATTATAGATATTAAAGAAGTTTTCTAAATTGACTTTTGATGTAGATTTGAGACTATTGAGTTTTGTTTTTCTCCTTTTCCTTTATTGGTTCTTAATGGAAACTGTTTTTTTTTGTTTTATTTTGGTTTTGTTTTTGTTTTTTGGAGACAGGGTTTCACTCTGTCACCCAGGCTGGAGTGCAGTGGCACAATCTCAGCTCACTGCAACCTTAATCTCCCAGGATCAAACAATATTCCTGCCTCAGCCTTCCAAGTAGCTAGGACTATAGGCCCACGCCAACATGTCTGGCTAACTTTTGAAATTTTTGTAGAGATGGGTTTTCACCATATTGCCCAGGCTGGTCTTGAACTCCTAAGCTAAAGCAATCTGCCCACCTCAGCCTCCCAAAGTGCTGGGGTTACAAATGTGAGCCACCCCAGCTGGCTTCTCATCTTTTAAAAAAATTTATTTTTATTTTTATTTCTTTTGAGGCAGGATCAATCAAGCTCTGTTGCCCAGGCTGGAGTGCAGTGGGTATTCACAGATGTGATCATTGAGGACTACAGCCTCAAACTTCTGGTCTCATCCAATTCTCCTGACTCAGCCTCCACAGTAGCTGGGCCTACAGGCACGTACCAGCACTCTCGGCTTCAATTTTCATTGTTATAGCAATGAACATTTATAAAGCACTTGCTACATGCCAGATATTGTACTAAGCACATCGTACCTATTTCCTAAGTTAATTTTCTGCACACTCTGTAAAACTAGACATTATCGAAATCTCTATATTAAAAAATAGCTGAGGTGTCAGCTGGGCACAGTGGCTCATGCCTGTAATCCCAGCACTTTGGGAGGCCAAGGCGGGTGGATCACAAGGTCAGGAATAGGAGACCAGCTTGTCCAATATGGTGAAACCCCATCTCTACTAAAAATACAAAAAATTAGTCGGGCTTGGTGGCAGGTGGCTGCAGTACCAGCTACTCGGGAGGCTGAGGCAGGAGAATGGCGTGAACCCGGGAGGTGGAGCTTGCAGTGAGTGGAGATCGCACCACTGCACTCCAGCCTGGGCGACGGAGTGAGATTCCGTCTCAAAAAAAAAAAAAAAATTAAAATAAGGCTGGGTGTGGTGGCTCACACCTGTAATCCTAGCACTTTGGGAAGCCAAGGCAGGCATATCACCTGAGCCCAGGAATTTCAAGCCAACCTGGGCAACATGGCAAAACCCATCTCTACAAAAAATTAGCTGGTCATGGTGGTGGTGGCACCCGAAATCCTAGCTATTCAGGAGGCTGAGGCAGGAGGACCACTTGAGCCCAGGAGGTTGAGGCTGCAGTGAGGTGTGATTGTACCACTATACTCCAGCCTGAGTGACAGAGCGAGAACCTGTCTCAAAAAAAAAAAAAAAAAAAAGCCAAGCAATAATGGATTAATTAGTAAATTATGATGGATATCTATAATGGCATACTAAACAGCTATTAAAAATAACCCAGCCTGGCTGGGCATCATAAAGACCATAATCCCAGCACTCTTTTTTTTTGAGACAGAGTTTCGCTCATGTTGCCCAGGCTGGAGTGCAATGGTGCAATCTCGGCTCACCACAACCTCCGACTCCTAAGTTCAAGTGATTCTCCTGCCTCAGCCTCCCAAGTAGCTGGGATTACAGACATGTGCCACCACGCCCAGCTCATTTTGTATTTTTAGTAGAGACAGAGTTTCACCATGTTGGTCATGCTGATGTCGAACTCCCGACCTCAGGTGATCCGCCTGCCTGGGCCTCCCAAAGTGCTGGGATTACAGGCATGAGCCACCTCACCCGGCCAATCCCAGCACTCTTGAATGCCAAGGTGAGAGGATAGGTTAAGGCCAGGAGTTCAAGACCAGTCTGGGCAACAAAGCAAGAGCCCATCTCTACAAATAATAATAGTAATCATCATCATCATCGTCGTCACCCAGCCTGGGCAACATAGGGATAGCCTCTCTGCCAAAAAATTTTAAAAATTAGCCTGGCATGGTGCATTTGTGCCTGTAAGTCCTAGCTACTTGGGAGGCTGAAGTGGGAAGACCACTTGAGCCCAGGAAGTCGAAGCTGCAGTGAGCTATGATCATGCCACTGCACTCCAGCATGGGTGACAGAGAGAGGCCCTGTCTCAAAAACAAAATCAAAACCAAAAAAGAATGCTACTTTAGAGAGACATAGGTGCAGTGGACTAGCAGTTGAGTGATTACCATCTGCCAAGAGTGTATGAGATGGTAGATAATATTATCTCTGTTTTACAGATTAAAAACCTGACTTCGAGGGGATAGAGAATGCTTTTTGAAAGAAAAATTTTTACAAAGGAAGTTATAAAACTGTAATAGTATGTACAGAATTTTGATGCCTTTTTTTTGTTCTTATGTTTTCTCTAGTTTTTTTCCACAATAAATTTTTGTTGAGTGATTGCAATGATAGGGAAAGTAATTTCTAACTAGAATTTTCAGGTCATTGTATTTTTATACTTTTGTCAGTACTTGAGATAATTTAAAAGTATATTTTCATTCCTTCATTCAGCCTTTGTTTCCTTACTATTTATCAAACTTTGTGGCTTTTTCTTTTTTAAACTAGAGAGGGCAAATAGAGTTGGTTTCCTTAGTAATGGTAGCTAAAGCTCCCAAACATTCTTTTCTGTTTTTTTTTTTTTCATTCCTTTCTCTTAAAACTGTTTGGATTTCCTGAGTAATAGATATGCATACTAATTACCAGTCCAATTTTATTTTAAGGGCTAAAATGATGACTGCAAAAATGGACTGATTCTAAGCTAAAACGAACAATTTTAGTGGGTTGCCGGTTCCTCCTAGAATTTTCATACACTTTTTCAACAGTGCACCTTAAGTTCAAGGGCCAACGTCCTATTGTGTGGTTGTCAACAAAGGCTTTCATATGAAACATGAAGATTGTATTTGAAAGATTCTTCAACTTTCCATTTGTCTACTTAAAATACATTAAATAAAATAATGCATTTTTATTAAAATATACAAACAGGACACAAATACTAAATTAAAAAAAGTTTCCATCTTTGCTTCAGTTCTTCATCAAAGCAACCACTGTTATAAACTTGGACATCCTATGTGGTAAAAGAAAAAAAAAAGGACCACTGTTCATTTCCTATATTATTCTAAAATGTGTTTAATGTATATAACAGCACATATATGATATATGCTTCTTAAAAGGAGATATATTTTCCTTAATATGTTTATCTAGATGGGCTAATACCATATGTACTGAATTGGAACATCTTTTTTCCACTTCAGTCTTTTTTTTTTTTTTTTTTTTTTTGTAAGACAGAGTTTCATTCTTTTGCCCAGGCTAGGTTCACTGGCAAGATCTCAGCTCACTGCAACCTCGCCTCCCGGGTTCAAGTGATTCTTCTGCCTCGGCCTCCTGAGTAGCTGGGATTATAGGCACCCACCACCATGCCCAGCTAATTTTTCTATTTTTAGTAAAGATGGGGTTTCACCATGTTGACCAGGCTGGTCTCAAACTTCTGACCTCAGGTGATCGTCCGCCTCAGCCTCCCAAAAGTGCTAGGATTACGGGCATGAGCCATGGCACCCGGCCTCCACTTCAGTCATAACCACTGCTGAGTATTGTATTTCATTGTATAAATATACCATCATGTAAATAGTCTTTTTTTGACGGATTTTTTGTTTTTTTCTTTTAGGAACAATCTTGTAATGAGCAAACCAATAACACCAAAGATCATCTAAATGTATGATTCTTTTTATATAAAGCACAAATTGGATACAACTAATCTATTCTGGTGAGTTCTCCCTTGGGAAGTGACTGAAGGAGGGGTTGCTGATAATCTGTTTCTTTGTGGGGTTTTCCTAGACGGAGTTTCACTCTTGTTGCCCAGGCTGGAAGTGCAATGGCACGATCTCAGCTCACTGCAACCTCCGCCTCCTGAATTCAAGCGATTCTCTTGCCTCAGCCTCCTGAGTAGCTGGGATTACAGGCATGCACCACTATGCTGGCTAATTTTTTGTATTTTTAGTAGAGATGGGGTTTCACCATGTTGGCCAGGCTGGTCTCGAACTCCTGACCCCAGGTGATCCACCCACCTCAGCCTCCCAAAGTGCCAGGATTACAGGTGTGAGCCACTGTGCCTGGCCATTTGGGGTTTTTTTCTTTTTTAAGAGAGACTCTCACTATATTGCCCAGGGTGGTCTTGAACTCCTGGGCTCCAGCAATTCTCCCGCCTCAGGCTCCTGAGGAGGATACTACAGGAATGTGCCACCATGCCTGGCCATCACATTTTTCTGATCAGTTCCAAGGCTGATATAATTCTGGTTTGTTTTTCAGAGACAGAGAGTCTCACTCTGTAATCCAGCCTGGAGTACAGTGGAACCATCATAGCTCACTGCAGCCTCCAACTACTAGACTAACGAATCCTTCAGTCTCAGCCTCCCAAGTAGCTAGGACTACAGACATGTGTCAACACATCTTTTTTTTTTTTTTGAGATGGCGTCTTGCTCTGTCACCCAGGCTGGTGTGCAGTGGCGCGATCTCAGCTCACTGAAACCTCCACCTTCCGGGTTCAAGCGATTCTCCTACCTCAGCCTCCCTAGTGGCTGGGACCACAGGCATGTACCACCACGCCTGGCTAATTTTTTGTATTTTTAGTAGAGACGGGGTTTCACTGTGTTAGCCAGGATGGTCTCGATCTCCTGACCTCGTGATCCACCTGCCTCAGCCTCCCAAAGTGCTGGGATTACAGGCGTGAGCCACCGCACCCGGACAGCCTGGTTAATTTTTTAAATAGGAGACCCGGTCTTCCTATGTTGCCCAGGCTTGTCTCAAACTCCTGGCCTCAAGCAATTCTCCTGCCTCTGCATCCTGAGTAGCTGGGACTACAGGAATGTGCCAACTTGCCCAGCTAATAATGTGTTTCTTTTTTTCCCCCGACATGCATCTTTGGCCTTGAAGTAATCTGTTTGAGTGCAGTTACCCAGGTACACTCCTTTTGTAAAATTTCATAGATCTTTGGTACACTTTTTGGTACATATGATTTACTTCAATGAGAAGTTAAAAAGATAGTTGTCAATGCAAAAGCTTTTTGTAGGACTTAATTAAATGTTATGAAACAAAGTGAGGGCCAGGTGTGGTGGCTCACGCCTGTAATTCCAGCACTTTGGGAGGCCGAGGAGGGTGGATCACGAGGTCAGGAGTTTAAACCCAGCCTGGCCAAGATGGTGAAACCCCGTCTCTACTAAAAATACAAAAATTAGCCAGGAGTGGCGGCATGCGCCTGTAGTCCCAGCTACGCGGGAGGCTGAGGCAAGGAATTGCTTGAACCCAGGAGGTGGAGGTTGCAGTGAGCCAAGATCATGCCACTGCACTCCAGCCTGGAGGCTCTGTCTCAAAAAAAAAAAAGAAAAGAAAAGAAAGAAAGAAAGAATAAATAGGGGTTCTCCTCCCTTGCATTTTTTCTTCCTAGGACTTGTCACTTTCTAACAAACTGTGTAATTTACTTATTTTTGTTTACTGTCTGTATCTGCTGCTGGAATATAAACTCCATGAGTGAGGGATCTTTGTTTTGTTCAATGTTTCTCAAGTGTTACAATGTCCAAACACAGATATTCAATAAATATTTGTTGAATGATAGTTTTACAAACTGCTAACGGGAGGATTTCTGAAATTTTACTTGGTAACATCTCCATGTTGCCTTAAGACATTCCTCACTGACATCAATTGAATTCTTGAAACCTTGATTTACTCCTGATATTTTGGATCTACTGGAGCATCTTTAGTTATAATCCTCATAATAGGACTTAGCAACTATTTATACATCTTCCTTCTCCTCCATGAAAATGCATATGCTAGCTTTCCTTCATGGAAAGAGAAAAACTTCATGGAGCGGGTGAGTGGGAACTTGCCATGGCACTAACTTTGTAGCAATTAGCTGTCACTCCAACCAGTGAGATGGCCAATCTCCTCAAATATTTGGCTTATAGAAGTGAACAGATCCTGATTGTAGCCTCTCCACAATCCATGGAAGGGGGTGGCCAAATAAGACCCTCAATTTTGGATAAAGCTGACAGATTCAGGATTTGGTTTGTAGCCCAATGAAATTAACTCCATGGCTGTCCAGAGTACTTCCTTGAGATTTTGATAAGAGATTAAGATGACAGTCCTGTATGGACCCAGTTAAGTTCAATTCTGGGAAGGCTTTAAATGCTTCACTCCCATGATTTTCCTGAATAAAATAACAGAGCTCAGTTCTGCCTAAGGTTGATTCCTCTATTTTTTCCTTCTTGTGCTAATAGCACCTAATACATTTTATTTTGTCTAACCAAAACAAAACATTTAACTTGATTTATGAAGAAACTCAATTCTTTTAAAAATTTAACATTTTAATTAGAACCAATCCCTATGGTCTATTGTTCAATGGAAGCTCAGATAGGCAAAGTGGAATGAATAGAATGAACTATTAAACATGTCTGTATAAATCAACATGAAAAGGTATTGAAGGTATTGCAAGTTACAAACTAAGTACAGTGAGAGTTTAGTGTTAAACATTTCTCTAAACTTTATATATATTCATGTAGTATTTTTGCAATTATGTTTTGTTTTTACAGTATAAAAACAAAATCAACACATTTCCAAATAATGTTCAAAACACATTTATTTACTAAATCACCTGACACTGACATCTAAGATAATTTCAACAAATAAAATGTTTAAGAAAAATTGTGGTATACATCATATTTGTCTCTAGAAAAAAGTCTTATTTACAAGTTGAGGAACAAAGATATTTCTTTTAATTAAAAACACATTAATTATGCAGTGCTACCATAATAAAAGTGAATCTCCCAAGAACAGCTCAAGTATCTTGTGAAGTATTAAGAGGTGAACTGTTTTTTTTTTCAATCATATTCAGAAAATCTTATATGTTTACTCGCTTGTTGAGTCTTTGCCAGTCTAATCTTTTCAGCTTTGGTGATTAACTAAAGAGAAATAAATCAAAAATTAAAATGTATTGGATACTCAAAACACACACACACACACACACACACACACACAAAACTATGACTAGAAAAAATTTCACAGCTATCAGCTTAAATGGAAATTTTTTAAAAACAGCGAGAAGATGACAAATGAGATAATTATGCTCAGGTCAAATCAATTACAAATCAAATCTGTTATTAAGGCTATTTACTATTTCCTATTTCTTACACCCTTACATAAATTGTTGAATATTTTTAAGGAAGGCAAATGAAATTACACAGAATAAAAAAGAAAACTGTTTAAAATGTCTAAAATATTCCAAAAGCTTCCTTGAGAAAAAAAAGTTAAAATATTAAACTTTGGAGTAAATGCAAATCTTTTTCTCTAAAAAATATAGATTCTAATGAGTATTCATTTAAATAGTTTTAAAGTGTTTGGTACCATATGGCAATTGGAAGGAATTCACTTTTAGATTAAACTAAAAGCCTATTATTCATCATTGAGGTGAATTAAAATCCAAAGATGTTTAGAACTCTATCATACCCATGCTGCTGTTCACAAATTTTATAAATTCTGCCTTTACCTGCTGAGTATCAGTAATTTTTACAGAAAAGAATTCAAATGTTTTAAAAGCCAAAGAGAAATAAGCTTCATTCTGTCTCTAGTAGCTGTTATCTATTTTTACCAATGTGTTCAAAATCATAGGGCATACTACAAAGATTTAGGCTAGCAAAATGAATAGGAGACATCCCTTTTGGCAGACCTTTCCTTCATCTTCTTGATCTTTTGTGATACATCACTAATTTAATTTACTTGTGTTTAATATATTATTTTAGTTTCGTTTTTTTGAGACAGAGTCTTGCTCTGTTGCCCAGGCTGTGGTGCAGTGGCGCCATCTTGGCTCACTGCAACCTCCACTTCCTAGGTTCAGGCAATTCTCTTGCCTCAGCCTCCCCAGTAGCTGGGATTACATGTGCGTGCCAGCTGGCTAATTTTTGTATTTTTAGTAGACAGGGTTTCAATATGTTGGCCGGGCTGGTCTCCAACTCCTGACCTCAAGTGATCCACCAGCCTCAGCCTCCTAAAGTGCTGGGATTATAGGCATGAGCCACCGTGCCTGGCCCCATAATGTGAATATTAAGAGCCAGAATTTTTTTACTTTTACTCAATTATGGGCCAAATACAACACTATTGTAGAAATATTGGGCTGTCAGGTCAGTAAGGTATTTATGTAACCTTTTGGCAGATTCACTGATGTTCTACTAGTTTTTTTTCTAAGCAATTTCCATTACTTACTAAGATGCTCCTAGTACTCCAACTACACTGGTCTTCTAGTCCCTGACAGTCTTCCCTTCCGGTCTCTGCATTTTCTTTGCTTCTGCCTGAAAAGCTATACTTCTAAACTTTACTGGGGCTTACTCGCTCACTTCCTTATGGGTCTTGGCTGTAACATAACCTTTGCAGAGAGTTTTCCAGACAACCTCAGCTGTTACAATGCTCTCCTGCAATACACTTTATTTTTCTGTCTAGCACTGGTCATCACCTAAACTATATTGTTTATCTGTTAGCTTCATGAAAGTAGGGGACTTTGTGATTCATGGCTTTACCCCAGGTTCCAAGAATGGTGCCTAACACAAGGCACTCAAAAATCATTAGCTGAATTAACTAGCAAACAAGTTGGCTAAACTAATTATGGTCTACTCCTTTTTTCCAACAAGCTTTGCACAGCACTTACTTTCTGTGTTAACCTCCGTTTCATTTCACGACAAGAGTCAACTGGCTACTTCCATAGCTACTTAACAAATTGCGTTAACGACAATCCTGACGTCATAACTGAGTTGTGTTCCAACTCAATTTAAGAACTTCCTAGTCAAAGATGAGCTCTAAATTTTTAAAATGAAAAATAAAAGGTTTATTCCTAGTTTTAAAAATATATAAAATCTAAATGAAATTTCACACCAATTAGAAGGGTATTATTTAACAAAGTGACTTCACTTCAGTTACCAGTTCTGGATTAGTGATTTTAACATTTGAATAATCTCAAACTGGCTTTGAAATTAACACCTCATATCCCTGAAAGAATCCTTGGGAAGCACAGGAGGCTTCCCCACCACAGCAAGTTCAGTCTCCTTTCAAGGAAACAAAATTCACACCTCCCCACAAATCACGATAAATTCTGGGCAATGGTAGAAGAAGGTTGATGAAAAACACTTGCTTTTTAAGTTAGTTTTTTTTTTTTTTTGTATAAATATGACCCCAAATCAACAAGCTTAGATTACAGGAAATAGGACTTTTAACTTGCTCACCTAACAAAAAAGGAAGTTCATCTTTTTCATTTTTCTTACACTTTTATAATATGCATTTCTAAATTTTGATGACTGTAGTTAATATTAGGTATTATGTACCCTACTTTGTTCCAGGCACTTTTAAAATGTACTAACCTTTACATGTATAATAATTTGTTTTAAAACTTTAAGAGACAGGGTCTTGCTATGTTGCCTAAGCTGGAAAGCAGTGGCTATTCCCAGGTGTGATTCCACTACTGATCAGACCAGTATCATTTTAAGTGACAGAAAAATAAAATTACTGAAAGAGGGGCTTGCTTTAAATTATTTAAGCTTGTTTGTATTACCTACTATCTTAGAGAAAGAGGAATAAAGCTTATCGTTGCTATAGGAAACACTATGCATAAAGTCTCTCCATCTTATCTATGGAGCCTCCTATCTTTATAAACTACATTCTGAATACATTGTGTTTTTACCATGAAGATAATCTTTCTATAATCATTTATCACCAAACTACAAGACATAGCAGCCAGATATCAAGACTGTTAAAGTATATCACTGGTTAAAAAGAAAAAATCTAAATTAAAATTATGTATCCTTGTGAGAAAAATAATTCAATTTCATACATTTTGAAATCTAGAGAAATGACTTTTCCCTCCCAACCTAAAACATAGTATATACTCAGTAAATTTTTGTTAGGTAATAGCAAAACTACGATCATTTTATGACTACCTAGTACTGACTTTGGCATTAAACGTTCAAGGAAAGTTTAGTCTAAAAAAACAAAAATGAATCAATTACCTTTTCAGTGCCTCTTTTCTTTTCCCGAGGCTGATTAAGTTTTGCCTGTCTATCAACCAAAATCTTCTGCCAATACCTTTGTTCGTGATCACCTTAAAAACAAACAAAGACTCTGATGGATGAAAAGAAGAACATATCTGAAAAACCATATTCAAGGCATTACATTCTCAATAATAGTAACTAGGACAGTTTTTGATTATATTTAATGCTACTTTACACATATTACAGAATAGAAAAAAAATAGTTAGTTTTGCCAGGTGCGGTGGCTCAAACCTCTAATCCCAGCACTTTGGGAGGGCGAGGAGGGAGGATCACCAGAGGTCAGCCTGGCCAACAAGGCAAAGCCCCTTCTCTACTAAAAATATAAAAATTGCCTGGTGCAGTGGCTCATGTCTGTAATCCCAGCACTTTGGGGGGCCAAGGCAGGCAGATCACCTGAGGTCCGGGGTTCGAGACAAGACCAGCCTGACCAACATGGAGAAACCCCGTCTCTATTAAAAATGCAAAATAGCGGGGCATGGTGGCACATGCCTGTAATCCCAGCTAACCTGGGAGGCTGAGGCAGGAGAATCACTTCAACCCGGGAGGCAGAGGTTGCAGTGAGCCGAGATCGCACCACAGCACTCCAGCCTGGGCAACAAGAGCGAAACTCTGTCTCAAAAAATAAAATAAAAATATAAAAATTAGCCGGGCGTGGTAACACACGCCTGTAATCCCAGCTACTCTGGAGGCTGAGGCAGGAGAATTGCTTGAAACTGGGAGGTGGAGGATGCGGTGAGCTGAGATCACACCACTGTACTCCAGCCTGAGCGACAGAGCAAGACCAAAAAAAAAAAACTAGTTTCATTAGCCAAACTCAGAAAATATATTACTCACAATAAGGATGATAACAAAAAAAAAAGGAAACGTCTATGAAGTTTTACCAGAAAGGATCTCGAGTTTCCAGCAGTGTTTCTTGTTAATTTCTGTATAGGCATTTATTACTGCTTGAGCATCCTCAGGAGTTTTAAATCTAGCATGGCATTCTGTATCCCCTTCTAGCAAATCAACATAAAGAACTTCTGAGATTGCTGCCAAAGTATCCTGCATTAGAGTTAAGTAGAAAGACAAATAAAATTTAAAAAGTTTCACAATAATTCTAAAACTATTCCAATGGTTATGCCAGAATATATTATGTAAATAAAGCATTTTGCAGTCTAATGAGGAGCAAATATCCTGTATCAAATATTTCCTGTAAAGCATGTTCTTAAAAATAGATTTGAATAATATCAACTCTAGTAATTTATTTTCATTTATTTTCTTGAAATCACATCCTTAAAATCTGCACTAGAATGGGAATATTCTATAAGGACAACAGATTTATAGAGCAGAAAGCAGAAATAGTGTCCCCCAACCCCCAAATCAGGAAGCGTTCACATCTGGGAGTAGTATAAGGAATAAAATTAAAAAAAAAAAAAAGGATTAAGGGAGGTTTGTTTTTACTCACCTGTAGAAAATCACTATGACTTTAAAATATGTGTACAAATCATTCCACTTTTAATAACAACTCATGAAAAACAGTTTAACCAAACCTAAAATACTAGATTTCCACATTGTTCAAGAGCTCTTACTTTCTGAAAAAAATACCTAAGTAACCTCTTCTAAACAAGTTGTGGTCACCCAGCAAGGAAAAGTTTTACCTACACTGCCTGCTGTGAGGGCAAATTAACCAGATTCCTGCATTCTTAATCAACTTTTTTTTTCACAGCAGGTTTTACAGAGTATACAATGCATTTATGCAGGAATGTTACACTAATTCCTAATTCATCAACTTCCATTCATAAAGCTAAAGAAGTAACTGGAGATTGCTAAATGGGGGGGGGGGGGAAATCTTATTTATCTTGCCTCCCTTTCGTTTTGACCTAAAATTTCAGACATAACTAATTTACATTACTTTCAGATGTTGAATTTTTAGATGTTTGAATTACGGAAAGAACTGAGCAATACCTGGAAGTATTATTTCATCATAGAATAAGAAAAGTTTATCAGTTAATAATAAAAAATATATAATAAAATCTGTGAGTTTCTAGAAGCCAGGGACTAGATCTTAACTCATCCCAACACTCAGCAACTATCACAAAACAGGCATTTAGTAACTGTTTGCCAAATTAAAAAAAAAAAAACTGCAGAGACTTACACTTGCTAGTCCTTCCCACTTCTTTACCTAGTTAATTAGTACCAAATTTAGATATAAAGCAAGTAAAAAACTCAGTATTGTTGAAATTTGAATGCATTCAGTAGTAGTAATGAGTTTTATAACTGACTTTTGAGCATATTCAATTACTACAACTCAAAAGATATATACTAAATATCCATTATAATGTCAGGCTAATCTCTTGATTTAAAACCCTTAGAATTTAAAACCCATAGAATGACAAATTAGCCTGGTAATCACATGGGCAAGTCACAGACAGTTGTAACCAACACAGCTCAGTTTTTGTTTCAGCAAAATGTAAGTAACTACTAACTGGATTAATGCAGGGATTGATTTTATGATTTTGATGATCATAAATGATGAATTTGTAATTGATAAAGTTACCCTTTAAATAACAGAAGTTATTTAATGAGTTGATTAGAAATAACTCTGAGCAATTTTTGTATTAAATGTTTTGCAATCTGATTAATCAGAGCAGTATTTACATCCCTCAATTTTCAGCTGTCTCCTGAAATGCAAGCTGGTAATAGCAATTTGGATTTGGCCAAATCCTTCACCAACATTGCAAAGAGGATCAAAATTTGTTTCTTAGTGACAGCTATAGGATTGTAGGACAGTATTTCAGATAAGGAGGGCTTACAGATAAACAAACCACCACCTCAATGGTATTCAAGTTAAAACCTGTGACTGATGAGTCTACGTAAAACCAAAACAACATACTAAGTGATGATGAATGTCAGTATAAGAAAATACTTAAAATATGTGGTATGTTACAGAGCATTTCACACTTTTTAAAAAGAAAAGGATTCACTTAAATGGGTGACAGGCAGGGTAAGGGTAAATAAGATATGGTACTCTCACCTAAAAGTATATAATTTCCCTAATAGAAAGTATTGCTACCAATGTGGTATAAAAGGCTACAGAAGATAGACTGTATAAAGCGAAAAAATTATAAACCTGTATGTACAGCAATTTGTAGCGTAAATTATATAGAAGTATGGGTTTTTTGGCACATGCGTGAAAAATTTTAAGAGGTTTTCAAAAATATTTTACTTTTCTATAATTAAAATTTTAAAGATAATCAGCACATAGGTAATACAAAAAAAATCAGTGCCAATAAAAATAAGCAAAAGTTACAATTTTCCTATAGAGAAGGATGTTTAAACTGTGCTTACATATAGATTTAGTGAGGAATTTCAGCCTCTAGATTTTGCTTCAAAATTAAACCTAAGAGTTACCATGGAATTAAAACTGTACAGTAGTTTACCATAGGGAAACAAATTCTAACTTGATTTGTTTTATCTTCCATATTCAAAACATTTTCACACAGGGAAATAATAAGAGAAGAAAGGAACAAATACCCTAGGGGCTCAAAATCATTACCCGGACTTGTTTCCTGCCAGGTAGAGGCTCTGTGCTAATGATCTTCACAATCACTCCACTCACGAACTGTGGTCCTGTTGCATTAACTTTCTCCTGGGTGCGACACTCTTCCCTGTTGGCTGCTGATTAGAAAAGGAAAAAGACCAGGACTAAATCTCTTACACTTAACAACAATTTAATACTTAGGAGGACTACCTTAGAATAATTCCTGAGGCAGATTTAAATAATTTAAAACGTATTTAATTTTAAAGTAAACAATTAAAGGTTATATGTCATACTGCTTATTTCAAAATACCATGAATAAAACTCAGAAAGTTTTATTATTCTACATGCAAATTGTTACTGCTAGAAGAGCATTCGTAAAGCCTTTAAATTTGCCCCTTCTCCCTGAACAAAGGAACAGTAAATTTTTACTCAATAAAGTTAAAAAAAAGTTAAAGGATACTGTGTTTTAAATACATTATTATTCAAACGTGAACATTTATTTTTACAAGAAATGAGAATTTAAAATGTATCCTAATTTTGAATTCATAGGAATTCTGCTTTAACTTGTTCCTGCTTGTGGTGCATACTACAGAATGAAATTAACAGGTGAGAAACTACAATCTTCATTCCTACAAACTTGCTCAGTCTGCAAACTCTGCACTCATGTGCTTGATGAAAACTGTAGAGAAAACTCAGGTTATTTAAAAAATTGTTTTAAATGAGCCTTTTAAATATTCTTATATCAAGAGTAAGTAACACATCTGGATAACTTAACAAATCAAGAATTGTTCTAATAATGAAATAGAATAATCAAGTTTTTTAAAATTAAAATTTATCTTATAACAACTCAGAGATAGCATTTACATATATAAGTACATTATAATGTTGTCAAAACTATCAGTGATCTTTACTTTTTTCATTTTTCATTCCAGTGTTTTGAGGTACTCCACTGTCTGTTTCCATTTCTGACTCTGATTTTATTTGGGATATTGTTTTTTTTAAAGAAGCCATGCTAGCTTTTTGTAGCGCTAAATACTCTTTTTTCAAATCCATCCATTCGCTCCTACAAGGAAAGAAATGGTGATAACAGATGACTAAATATAAAAAGTAAATAGGGAAATATCTAAATATATACATTCACAATGACTTGGAGCAACTCCTCCACCAACTTTCCTGTTTCTTTAAACACATATTCAAAATATTTCCTAGGTTCTAAAGACATTTAGCAAAATAAGCTAAGGGAGTTCCTCTTCCCCCAATATTCAGATTAAATGTTTTAAGATTGCCAATTAAATTTTTGAGTGTCTGAAGTATTTTAATTTATAAAAGTAAAATTTTAGCATTAATTCCTTAACTAGTAACATTTACTAAATCAGTCATCTCTGTGGGAAAAGGGCGAGATTAAAGATTTGTTAAACTGCTTCCAATTTGAGAGATAACATTCCTTAGTATTTACTTGAATCAAAAAGAATTTCTAAGTAGAACAAAACACCCCGTGGAAGCAATCTATTTATTTACATACATTTAACATGTAGATGCTTCTTCAAACAGAGTTCCTCCAGATAGAAACACAATGCCTTTCTCGGCTCAGTGGGAGCACTCATTGTTACCCTAATCTATGCCATCAAACAAGCAGATAGGAGATTTTCTTTTTCTTTTTCTTTTTTTTTTTTAAGAGGAAGATATCTTGTGGTAATGGTTTTAGCTGTTAACATTGACATCTGTATACTTCAAAAAAAAAAAAAAGGATCCAGACCCACCCAGGATCATACATTCCCTGAGAGCTGATACATTAAAATAACAAAAGGCCCTTGTAATGATTCTCTGAGATAAAAAGGCAAAAGGAATTCAAGAGTTAAGAATAGTATAAATAGAAGTGGCTGAAGTCCCTGCCTTTTACCCTTCTGGAGGAGAACACGAATCTTTGGGAACTAGTTCAGGAAGGTAAAAAAATTTTTTTCTTCTAAAGTTATGCCATTTTGTTTTCTTTCTCCTCAGCTCTAAATACTCTGAAGTCCAAAGAAGTTGTATGTTGGGTGGGCTCCCTTCAACTTTAACATGGAAGTGCTTTCTGTGACTTTAAAAGTAAGTGCTTCCATGTTTTAGTAGGAGTGAATCCAATTTACTTCTCCAAAATAGAACACGCTAACCTCATTTGAAGGGATCCCCTTTGCTTTAACATGGGGGTACCTGCTGTGTGAAACAAAAGTAAGTGCTTCCATGTTTCAGTGGAGGTGTCTCCAAGCCAGCACACCTTTTGTTACAAAATTTTTTTGTTATTGTGTTTTAAGGTTACTAAGCTTGTTACAGGTTAAAGGATTCTAACTTTTTCCAAGACTGGGCTCCCCACCACTTAAACGTGGATGTACTTGCTTTGAAACTAAAGAAGTAAGTGCTTCCATGTTTTGGTGATGGTAAGTCTTCCTTTTACATTTTTATTATTTTTTTAGAAAATAACTTTATTGTATTGACCGCAGCTCATATATTTAAGCTTTATTTTGTATTTTTACATCTGTTAAGGGGCCCCCTCTACTTTAACATGGAGGCACTTGCTGTGACATGACAAAAATAAGTGCTTCCATGTTTGAGTGTGGTGGTTCCTACCTAAT
Organism: Homo sapiens; assembly: GCF_000001405.40. NCBI lineage: Eukaryota > Metazoa > Chordata > Mammalia > Primates > Hominidae > Homo > Homo sapiens. Next base: position 112,647,988 of record NC_000004.12, on the reverse strand, counting down.
CAGCAATTGCGTTAACGCCCACACTGTGTGCAGTTCTTGGCTACAGGCCATTACTGTTGCTAATATGCAACTCTGTTGAATATAAATTGGAATTGCACTTTAGCAATGGTGATGGATTGTTAAGCCAATGACAGAATTTAAACCACAGACTTACTTTGATAGCACTCTTAATGGTATAACTTCTTCTCCCATTTTATGTCTCTCTTTATGTTTTTTCTTATGTTTCCTTTTTGTTTTCAAGAGAGAGCTATCTTTTAGATCTCCAGTATCCTTTTCCTCTTCAGTAGAGATTTCTATATCTTGAAATAAATAAAAAAGCTCTCCGTTAAGACATGGGGCTGTGAAATGGGTGAAACAGAAGCCAATTAAAACCTAATTAATTAAAAACTAATTAATTAAAATTAATTAGTTTTATCTAATTAAAACCTTGTAGTTTTACCTCTATTTTCCTTGGAAGCTTCTGATGCTTCCTTAATGATGTCTTTCTGAATAATTTTCTTTACTTTTGATCGGGGAGCTAGGGATTCTGCATCTTCAGAGCTGCTTCTCTTCCTCTTCCCTGTTCTGACTTCAGGTAAGCTAGATGCTTCAACTCTGTCCCGTTTTTTCTTTTTCTTTGAGCACTGCTTTTGGGGTTCAGTGGACTCAATGTCAGAGCCCTCAGATGTGGGTCTGGATCTTTTCATTTTACTGATGCTGGTGTTGCTTGTGTCCATGTTTTCTTCTTTGGCTTGGATATTGTCTTCCTTTTTCATTCGGCCTTTCTTCTTCTTTTTCTTTTTCTTCTCTTCTGTAAAAGTGCCATCATTATTAGTTCATCTTACTTCAACTACACCTATTTAAATATTGAAAAATACTCACCCACAACTCTTAAGGCTGGAATGGGCTTATTTTTCACTGTTTTAGGAAATATGCCAGGTTTTCTTGGTGCTTCTTCTGGTGGGTTGTTAAGAAACTGAAATGATTGCAAAAGTTACTATTTTAATACTTGTTTTCTTTTCTTTCTTTTTTTTTTTTTAGGATCTGGACTTACCTCAATTGCTTTTGCTGCTTGTTCTTTTGTTTCAAATTCCACAAACGCAAATCCCTTTGGATCTCCAGTAGACTTATAATGTGGTATACTTATATAAACAACATTGCCACATTTCCCAAATACTCTTTCAATCCAGCTGTGATTAACATTTTTGGGAAGTAACTCCTATTATAAATTAAAAGCAATATTAGAGTTTTTCACAATCAGAATGTCAATAAATTTTTAACTTAATTATATTGTTTCTGTGCCAGTTTCTGACTGGGGACCCGGGTTCTTAAGCTTACCACATACACTGTGCGTTCATCCTCATCCTTTGGTCTTTCCCCCAGAGGTTTTTTCCTCCGGATTCTGGTGCCTTCCAAATCAAGCTTTAAAATAGTATATTACATTAATAAAACTAATATTATTTATAATTGTAAGCTATAATCATATAATAATCATTACGTTAACATTCTTTATAATTATAAACTATAAATATAAACAGTAGTTATTCTTGATTCTTACCTCTACAACAGCTGAACTTCTCAATGCTCTGGCAATTAACTTCCCATCAGTAGTCAATTTTTTCATTTTGTTAAAAGACACAAGTAGTGATATATCAACATCTAAAGAAAATGAAAAAGTTAATATGTTAGTGTATCAGCAGGATTAATTCAATTTGGTACAATTTAACCTGCCCCTCAGGCCCTCAGGCTCGGTGGCTCATGCCTGTAATCCTAGTACTTTGGGAGGCCAAGGCGGGTGGATGGGGGAGTTCAAGACCAGCCTGGCCAACATAGTGAAACCCCATCTCTACTAAAAATACAAAGAATTAGCTGGGTGTAGTGGTGCACGCCTGTAATCCCAGCTACTCGAGAGTGAGGTAGGAGAATCGCTTGAACCCAGGAGGCAGAGGTTGCAGTGAGCTGAGATCACTCCAGCCTGGGAGAAAGAGACTCAAACAAAACAAACAAAAAAAAACTGTATGAGGGTCTAAATGGCATTGCATATTTGGCGACCTAAAATGACACATTTTAGTGTATGTAACTGCAGATTAAGATTTGAACACAAATTATTAGCAATACCCAGACATTCAAAGAGGACATCTGGATCCCATCCTATTAGAAACAAGCACAAGGTTGGCTATTTGAAATTTAGCAACTGGGGATGGTGGCTCAATGCTTCTTATCTCAGCAATTCAGGGGTGAAGGTAAATCTCTTGAGCTCAGGAGCTCAAGACCAGCCTGGGCAACATGGTGGGACCCCATATCTCTTAAAAATGCCAGAAAAAAAAGCCGGCCTGGTGATGCTTGCCTGTGTTCTCAGCTACTGGGGAGGCTGATGGAGGATCGCTTGGGTGGGGCTGAGGGGGTGGAGGTGGGGGCAGAAGTTGGAGTGAGCAGACATGGAGCCAGTGCATTCCTGCCTAGGGAAAAAAGATAGACCTTGCCTCAAAAAAATGAAACAAAAAATAACATTGAGCTAGGTGAAATGCCTTCTTGTATGAACTAAAGTATAGCACTCTCGAGTTACACATGATGAATGGTTATTGAAGCAATTAAATCCCAAAATACTTAAAAGCTTTGATTTGAAATTGCTTATTTAATATAGCCTAAACTGTTACCAACAGTCTTTATTTAGAAGATTGTCATTCACTAAATAAAAATTAGAACAGATTACACGGAACACACTTACAGAAACGAATATACACATTATAGAATATACTATTTTAGGCTGGGTGTAGTGGCTCACGCCTGTAATCCCAGCATTTTGGGAGGCTGAGGTGGGCAGATCACAAGGTCAGGAGTTCGAGACCAGCCTGGCCAACACAGTAAAATCCCATCTCTACTGAAAATACAAAAATTAGCCGGGCATGGTGGTGCTTGCCTGTAGTCCCACCTACTCGGGAGGCTGAGGCAGGAGAATCACTTGAACCCAGGAGGCAGAGGTTGCAATGAGCTGAGATCATGCCACTGCACTCCAGCCTGGGCAACAGAGCAAGACTCCAACTCAAAAAAAAAAAAAAAAAAAGAATATATTATTTTATAAGTAAATTTAAAGGCAACCATATCTAAAAATTGGTTCCTTTACTGAAGCAAACTTACATCCATCTCTAGATTTTTCTATCTGTTCTCGAAGAAATCTATCCTTGTGAAGATTTGCATCCCCAAACCAGAAGTCCACTTGCTTAGCAATATCTGCAAGCACCTGTTTAACTCGTGACCGTTTCTTTTTTTCAACTTCTTTTTTCTTTTCAGTGCTTTCTTCTTCCATTACCTTTTCCTGATTTCCACTTTCAGTTTCCATTCCTGTGAATTACAAGAAAAAGATGTAAATATTTAAATCACCACAATAGCTAATATAGTTAAATATTTAGATTAGCCTTTAACTGTCTGAGAGAATAATGGACTCACATTTGGCCATCAGAAGACAAACAGAAAGAACATTCATTTTTATATTTAATAAATTAAATTTAAAAATAATTTACCTTCTATGTTAGGGATCATAGCTTTAGTTTCTTTGTACCTTTTAAAACACAGGGCCAGATTATCCTAGAATAATATAAAAAATTACACCTTTATCTCACTAAGCTGCACTTTTAAGTCAGTAAGTGAAAAGTGTAAGATTAAGGGACGTGGACACTCTCCATCGCAACACCCCCTCCTCTCCATCGCAACACCCCCCCGCCCCCGCCCCACCCCAGAGAAGTTGTATTCGCTTTTTTTTTTTTTCTTGGAGACAGTTTCCCTTTTGTTGTGCAGGCTGGAGTGCAGTGGCGTGAACTTGGCTGACTGCAACCTCCATCTCCCGGGTTCAAGCAATTCTCCTGCCTCAGTCTCCCAAGTAGCTGGGACTACAGGCACATGCCATCATGCCCGGCTAATTTTTGTATTTGTAGTAGGAGACGGGGTTTCACCATGTTTGCCAGGTTTGTCTTGAATTGCTGTCCTGGTGATCTGCCCGCCTCCGCCTCCCAAAGTGCTAGGATTACAGACATGAGCCGCCGCGCCTGGCAATTTTGATTTTTAAAATGTTAATTTCTGCTTTCTAGGGGCAGAATTCAACTGGTAAGCTGTAGAAATCAGCCTCTTCTCTCTTCTCTTTCTTCTTCTCTTCTCTTTTCTTTGAGGCAGTCTTCCTCTGTTGCCCAGGCTGGAGTGCAGTGGCATGATCTCAGCTTACTGCAAGCTCTGCCTCCTGGGTTCAAGCGATTCTCCCTGCCTCAGCCTCCCAAGTAGCTGGGAATACAGGCACCACTGCCAATCACACCCGGCTAATTTTTGTATTTTTAGTAGAGACAGAGTTTCACCATGTTGGCCAGGCTGGTCTCGAACTCCTGACCTCAGGTGATTCGCCAGCCTCAGCCTCCCAAAGTGCTGGGATTATAGGTGTGAGCCACCGCGCCCAGCCATAAATCAGCCTTTTCAAGTGGCCTTCTCATCCCAGTGTTTATTTCTTGGGCAGCAATTTCTAACCCCCTCCTTCCTCAAGTTACTTTCAGTATCTCTTCCCCTTTGCTTTGTCAGCTCCAGCCATACAGTCCTTGCACTTCTTGAAGCTCACCCAGCAATGTCTAACGGGGTCTTTTAAACCTGTTCTCTTTGAAACACATATCCCCAGAGATAACACAGCTTGCTCTCCTACTTCAAGTGTTTATTTAAATGTCACCTCAGTGCGGTCCCCTCCCACAATCATATTTAATAATGCAAATTTCTGGATACATACACAGTAACTCCCCTGCCTTATTTTTGTTCATAGCATTTATCATCTTCTAACATTACTATCACCACTATGCAATTTATTTCTTTGTTGTTTATCCTTCCTAGATGGTAAGATCAATGAAATCAGAGATTTTTGTTTGTTTACTGATATATTGTCAGTCCCTGCCATACAGTCACTTAAAAATGTGTTGAATAAATTGTGCCTCGATTTTGTTGAATGAATTGAATCACTAGTGGTATAGGAGCAAAGGATTAATATCAGGCCTGGGATAATACAGGCTGCTTGAGAATAACCTCAGTCTCCTATAATACAGTCTTCTTGGAAACTGGAGAGACTAATGGGGGTGTTGTATCTGTTTCCCATGTTGCACCTGGTTTGGAGCAGCTATTAGATGGCATGGAGGCCTTATGCCTACGTGACCAGAACAACAGATTGATAGGCAAAAGAGGTTAAAGCTTTCACGTGTCAAAGTGTCCTAAATACACCATGGTCCTTATCTAGGGAAGGCATACATGCCTGTTGTGGGTAAATGGGAGAAAAAAGTAGTGAATTTGGGTAATTGCTAGATATGGGTAAATGGCTTGGTGGCCTCTGGTGGGATGAAGAAGCTGCATCTACCCTATCTTTTGCCTTGACTCTTCTTTGGTAAGCAGTATTTGCATCTCTTGAGTCTGACTGCTGGTTAGAATCTCTAACTGCTACAGTGATGCTGCTGATAGTAACAGAAATAGATAATGTGTTTCAAAGTGATATCCAGTAAGAGGGTACAAAGCCCTTAATGCATTTCACCTCAAATCTCCAACTAAACATGCATTCTCATCAAACTCAACAGAAGTACATTTTGGCATTTTAGGTTTCAGTAGATCAATCAAGTACCAATTTTGAAATTTTACAAGTAATGATATATTTAGGTGATGCTAGCTTAAGACATAAAACACAACTATAGGTCAGAATTAATAATAGAAAAACAATGAGGTGTCATTGAGTACCACACAACCATGTTCTTCACCTCATGCTCTTACTTCAACCCATCCTGTCAGGTTTTCCTCATCACCATTCTAGAGAAACTGCAAACAAGCTCCTCAATGTGCTCCACTGTCTACTTGACCTCTCAGCAGCAAATGCAGTTGGTAACTCCCTCCTTGAAAATATTTTCTTCATATAGCTTCCAAACGAGTCTTCTTCCTTTTCAATTCCCTTTTGCAATCTCAGTTTCTCAATTTCCTTTCACCCTACCTCTCCCACTGTGCCCTACACCTTTACATGATGCCTAAATTGGACTCAGTCCTGGGCTTCCTTCTCATTTACACACTCATTCTTTCTGAGGATCCTGGCTTTAAGCTCATTGGCTTTATGCTGATGCTTTACAAATCTATCTTCTCCCATTAGCTCCCCATTCCAATATTCAACTGTCCACCTGACACCTCCACTAGTTTATCTAAAGGATATCTCAAAATTAACATGGTGAAAATAGGACTCTCTAGTGCTAACAATCCCCTCCCACCAATTTTCCCTATCTCAGAAACACCAATTACAAAATTGCTGAAAAGGCAAAAGCCTTAAAATCATTCTTAATTTCCCTTTTCCTTACACCTCATGGTCAACTCATCAGTATTTCTGTTAGCTCTAACTTTAAAATATATCCCAAATATGAATAATTCTCATTTCCTCCATCATAAGCACCTGGTCCAAGCTACTACTGCGTTGTCTGAACAACTACAAGAACTTTATTACTAGTCTGCCTGCTTCTAATCTTCTTCCCTTATAATCGATTCTCCAGATAGAATTACCATTTAAATATGTAAATCAGATCATGCCAATTCCTTACACAAACTCCTCCAAAGGTTTCTTTTTTTTTTTTTCCCTGAGACGGAGTCTCACTCTGTCACCCAGGCTGGAGTGCAGTGGCGCGATCTCGGCTCACTGCAACCTCCCCCTCTGGGTTCAAGAGATTCTCCTGCCTTAACTCCCAAGTAGCTGGGACTATAGGCATGTGCCACCACGCCTGGCTAATTTTTTTTTGTATTTTTAGTAGAGACGGGGTTTCATCATGTTGGCCACCTGACCTCAGGTGATCTGCCTGCCTTGGCCTCCCGAAGTGCTAGGATTACAGGTGTGAGCCACCGCGCCCAGCTCAGAGGTTTCTTATCACACTCAAAATAAAGTCCAAAAACCTTACTGTGGTTGACTGGATCTTAAATAATCTGGCCTGGGGATCTCTCTAATTTCATCTATCACAATTCTTGCCAACAGGCTCAGTCCAAACATAACAACCATCTTTTCGTTCTTTAAACATGCTAAAGCCATTCCCACTTCAGGGCCTTTGCCCTTGTTGCTCCCTTTACCTTCCTTACCGTATCTGTATGAATTACTTCCTTGTTCACTTAGGTCTCTGCAAATGTCACTTCTTAGAGAGACTTACCTCTTTCCGCTCAATCTAAAATATTCCCTCCCTGCTGACCTTAACTCCGTCCACTGCCTCAGTCACTATTTTTTATTCTTGTATCTTGTTGTCACTACCTGGAATTATAACTTTATTTTTTATTTTTAATTATTTATTGAGATGGAGTCTGTTGTGCAGCCTGGACTGCAGTGGCACAATCTTGGCTCACTACAACTTCTGCCTCACAGGTTCAAGTGATTCTCCTGCCTCAGCCTCCTAAGTAGCTGGGATTACAGGCAGCTGTCACCACACCCTGCTAATTTTTGTTTTCAGTAGAGATGCGGTTTCATCATTTTGGCCAGGCTGGTCTCAAACTCCTGACCTCAAGTGATCTGCCCATTTGGGCCTCTCAAAGTGCTGAGATTACAGGTGTGAGCTACCATGGCCGGCCTGGAATTTTAATTTTATTGTCTACCTATCCCACCAGAATGTAGACACTATGAAGGCAGGAACTTTAACTTCATCAGTACCTAAGTATCTGTTGAATAAAAAAACAAATTTAAAAGTACCTGTAAAGTGTTAAGCATTTCAAATTCTTTGTAAGGTTGTGGGATGTAAATAAAATACAAATAGGCCAGGTGCAGTGGTTCACGCCTATAATCCCAGCACTTTGGGAGGCCGAGCCAGGTGTATCACTTGAGGTCAGAAGTTCAAGACCAGCCTGGCCAACAAAGTGAAACCCAGTCTCTACTAAAAATAACAAAATTATCTGGGTGTGGTGGCCCATGCCTGTAATGCCAGCTACTCGGGAGGCTGAGGCAGGAGAATCGCTTGAACCCAGGAGGCAGAGGTTGCAGTGATTCGAGATCGTACCACTGCACTCCAGTCTGGGAGACAGATTCAGTCTCCATCTCAAAAACGAACAAACACAAACGTAGGCTATAATTATCAATTATTCTATAATTGATAATTATAATTCTATAATTGATAATCTATAATTATAAATTATTGATAATTATCCAATTATCAATAATTCTATCCAATTATTCTATCCAATCTCTTGTTAAATCCTATCAGTTTGACTTTTGAAATGGCTCTCATCTCCATCCAGTGTTTTCTACAACTACTGCTACAACTGTCACTAGAATATGCCAATAGTTTATAAACTGTTCTGTAAGTCACCCATTCTCAACAGGAGCCTATGTATAACCCATCTAAAACACAGACCTGGTTTTGTGATGCTTCTGTCAAAACTTGCAACATTAGAAATTCCTTAGCACCTTCCCGTAACATAATATGCAGTTTATGAAAACACTGTTTTAAAAAAAAAAAGTAACACTTGGCCAGGCGCGGTGGCTCACGCTTGTAATCCCAGCACTTTGGGAGGCCAAGGCGGGCGGATCACGAGGTCAGGAGATGGAGACCATCCTGGCTAACAAGGTGAGACCACGTCTCTACTAAAAATACAAAAAAAGAAAAAAGAAAAGAAAAAAATTAGCCGGGCATGGTGGCAGGCGCCTGTAGTCTCAGCTACTTGGGAGGCTGAGGCAGGAGAAAGGTGTGAATCCGGGAGGCGGAGCTTGCAGCGAGCCGAGATCGTGCCACTGCACTCCAACCTGGGCGGCAGGGCAAGACTCCGTCTCAAAAAAAAAAAAAAAAAAAGTAACATTTAACTGGCTTTAAATGAAGAATAAAAGTTATTGGGTAACAATACCAGTAACTTTATATACACTTTTGTAAATCCTCACAATCCCACTAGGTAGCAGTTTCTTCCATCTTAACACAAAAACTCAAAAAGGTTTAAGTGACTTGGCCAAAGCTAGCTAAGTAAGTTGTCCCAGGTATGTTTGATCCCACATTGTCTACCTTTTGGTAGAATTTCCCGCAATTTATCACCACGGACTCTATGTTCTGACTCAGGAATTCTTAATCTGAAGTCCATGCAACTTTGGCTGGACAAGAATTCTAGTGGGCTCCATTAAATTGTAAATGATACATTTTAAAGATAAGGTAAAATCAAGACTCTTGTACAAATATAAAATGAATACACGGTAAAGATTTAAGCACAGTCATGGGTTGCTTAACGACAAGGACACATTCTGAGAAATGCACAGTCAGGTGAGTAAGTACATCATTGAGTATGTAGTTATTCTATGATGTATTCACACAAACCTAGGTACTATTGCCTATTACTCACCTATAATCTTATGGGACCACTGTCATACATGCGGTCTGTCGGTATGTGGTGCTTGACTGTAAATAAGGGAACCAGTTAAGTGCTAAAAACCAGTTCAAAGGAGAATTTAAAAAGCAGGTACACAGGCAATCAGGAACGTTGAAATGAATATTAATAAATACTGCTCAGGACAATAATTAATTGCATCTTTACTGGACAAACCTAATTTCCATGTTGCTGTAGCGAGTTACAGGGTTGAAAAATAGTTCAAAGACCACGAAAGACATAGATAACTTGGAAGAGTGAGTCAGACAAGACACCAAGTCATTTGTGTGTGTTTGCTATTTAAAAGTATTTCGTAATTTCTCCTGAGGAAATTATATGAAAAATGTTTGTTTGGAGACGCAGCCTCTCTCAGTGGCCCAGGCTGCAGTGCAGTGGCGCGATCCCGGCTCACTGTAATCTCTGCTTCCCGAGTTCAAGCGATTCTCCCAACCAAGCCTCTTGAGTAGCTGGGACTACAGGTGTGCACCACCACTCCCCGCTAATTTTTGTGTTTTTAGTAGAGACGAGATTTTGCCATATTGGCCAGGCTGGTCTCGAACTCCTGACCTCAAGTGATCCTCCCGCGTCGGCCTCCCAAAGTGCTGGGATTACAGGCGTGAGCCACCGTGCCCAGCCTCGCAAAATGTTTTAATAGGTACATGCACGTTTTCCTGAGAAGCTAATCCATATAATTAAGTTTTCAAAAGAAGTGTGCCACAACAGGTTAAGAATCATTGTTCTGGTCACTGCTTACAACTCAAGTCCCTCAACACGTAGTGGCCTGTGTGTTCTGCTTTGTCTGAATCTTCTCGTCTAAATTTCCTTATTAAATTTTCAAGGCCCAGGTTAAATGGCATCTTACTCTTTGAGATCTTCCACCACCCTGTGTCCTATCATTTGTTTTCTCTTAAGTTTCTTTGCAAACGCACTCTGCACACCATATCTAGCAAGTGTTAGTTCCCTTCCGTAACTGGATTTTTTACTCTTTGAGGACGATGGCAGAGTCCTGCAAAAGAAGATGATAATTTTAGAATATAAATCCTCACGTTCGCTATCTTCTGGCAGCCACAGCTCAGCTCCAATCTGCGAAATACGGCACTCTCTTTATTGACTACTGCTTCTCTCGGCACCCGTACTTCCGCAAGGACGCCGTCATAGGCCGGGCGCGCCCCAAACCTCCCCACGCCGGGCCCCTATGCGCCCTTACTGTCTGAAAACGGGAACTACAAGTGCTGCCGAAGACTTTTGCGCGTGCGCATAGATAACTAGGCCAAGGAACTGATGGGTGTGCAGGACGGGGGGGCGGGGTAAGAAGGACGATAGATGATAGAGTGGACCGCAAGAAAAAGGACGGAGAGTTAATTAGACTTCGCCCAAGCTGTGCGACCCTATAGGCCGCTTGTAACTTACTCCGTTCGACTCCCAAAATACAGGGTCAAGTACTGCGGCCTTCGGACATTTCCGTCTCCGGATCCTGATAGTCTCGGTTACTTTCGCGTCATAGGATGAGCGACAACGTTTTCCGGTCCCAATTGAGAAAGACGGGCCCGGAGGCAGTGCGCGCTCCACCTACGTCACAGGCGAGGTGGTTCCAGGAGGGCTGGGCATCGGAGAGCGCGGCCGGCTGAGAGACTCGAAGCCAAGGAAGAATTTGATTGGCGATTTGAAAGCGGCGGTTTTTGGCTTAGGCGGAGGTGGGCGGGCCAAGTTTTGGGTCCTCATCTGGTGAGGTCCCGCGTTAATGACGTCACGTTGTTTCGCGGGAGAAATTCGAAAGTGGATTTTGTGCAATTTGACAGGTGAGGTGAAGTGTTTCTCGGGATTTCCTAGGAATGACTTGAGCGATTTGGGGCGAAGGGACGAAAGACTCTGCTCCTTAAGAAGAGAACCGGGAAGGATGCTGTTTGGAACCAGGATTGGGGTGGTCGCAGTCACAGCTACTCGGACTGCTTGTAGTAAGTGGTGCCTCTTCACCGTTTTTCCCAGGCCTTGCTTTGCAATTTCGAGTAGGTATGAGGACCAAAGAGGGCTTTGCTGTTTGTATTTAGGACTGAGAAAGGATCAAGTCTCCATTGTCATTTGGTGACAGGATTATGGTTCTTAGAATCTTGGCAAATGAGATGTGGGTTTCCTTTGTTTATTTGGACTGGATGGTTTGTTAACAATGTTGAGTTCATGATTCCAAAACTTTGTTATCCGAACTATTTAGAGGTTCAGGTTTAGGTTCAAAAAATACTCCTTGTTTAAAAAAAAAGGAAAAATATCTAGTATTTAAATGAATAATGGCTCATACTTTACTGAGAACACCGAGTTTTATGTATATATATTGCGTCCGTACATATAGTAGCACAATGTATATGTATGTATATGTGTGTATGTACGTATATCTGTGTGTATGTATGTATGTATATAATTATCACAGAGCATCTGGGGTCTTTAAAAACTTATTTGGAGATTAATCTTTCACCTATTAGAAGTCGGTCAACAGGTGAATTGTCTGGTAGACGTGGACAGATGAACACTTGGAAAAAACTCTTTGCATCTCACTTAAATATATATGATGCTGTTGTCTAAAATAATTTTTTCTGATTAATACTAAGATAAGAAAGGGTGTTGACTTTCAATGAATAAGTATTAGAGCTCTTCTAAATTTTAAAAGATCCAGTTAGCTTTTTTTTTTTAGGTTTTCTCCTATAATCGAATTTAACCATCCTTTAAGAGTTTCAGTCTTCTTAGTTCTTTTTAAACTGTACATTCCAGAAGTAATATCTCAATTTAGGAAAATAATGGAGAATTTATCTTGCAATTGTGAAATAGCATATAAGTTATCCTAAACTAGTAAATACTGGGTTCCTAATCTGTAAATTGTAATAATGCTTATTCTTCAGGATTATGAGACTGATAAATACTGTATGTAAAGTATCTCGTCCAATTCCTGCCTGATACATAGTATGTAATCAATAAATATATATAATTACACACGATAATCATATAATTGTATATTACATAATACAGTAATATAGTTATATATTATATAATTACATAATAATTATAATGTATATAATTAACAATATAATGTATATAATGTTTATAATATAGCACTTTGGGAGGCTGGAAGGATTGCTTGAGCCCAGGAGTTTGAGGCCACAGCGAGCTATGATTGCAACACTGCACTCCAGCCTAGGTGACAGAGTGAGACCCTGTCTCTGTAAAAGAAAAAGAAAAGTTAAAAAGCCAACAGAAACAAAACCTCCAAATAAAGCATTTAACAGTTTCTAGCATATGGTAGCACTGAATAAATGGTAGCTATTAAACAGATCTGATATTAATAATTGCCACATGCCCAGCACTGTGTCTGTACCATGTATTCTCATCTATGTATACAGCATATCTAGCCCAGGAGTGTTTTTCTCGATCTCTCTTTTATCTTCTTGGCATTCTTAGGCATCAGCAATTTATGTACGCCGGAGGGGAGGGAGATAGGATGTGGAAGTTGTATTTCTTTTTTTTTTTTTTTTTTGAGATGGAGTCTCGCTCTGTCGCCCAGGCTGGAGTGCAGTGGCGTGATCTCTGCTCACTGCAACCTCCGCCTCCCGGGTTCAAGCAATTCTCCTGCCTCAGCCTCCTGAGTAGCTGGGACTACAGGCCTGTGCCACCATGCCCAGCTAATTTTTGTATTTTTAGTAGAGACGGGGTTTCACCATGTTGGTCAGGCTGGTCTCGAGCGCCTGACCTCATGATCCACCCGCCATGGCCTCCCAGAGTGCTGGGATTACAGGCGTGAGTCACCACACCCGGCCAGGAGTTATATTTCTGAAAGGCAGTCCTTCTGTAGGTTTGGTTTCTGTCCTGTGACCTGTGTCACGAAGCAAGTATGCATATCTCATTTGCATACCCCTTACCTATTCTTTCTCCAGATCACCTTGATTAGTCAAGGGAAGATGCCAGTCACTTTCTTGCACTTCACCGCCCCCGCCTCGCCCTTTTATTTTTTTTTTTTGAGACAGTTTTGCTCTTGTCGCCCAGGCTGGAGTGCAGTGGCGTGATCTCGGCTCACTGCAGCCTCTGCCTCCTGGGTTCAAGTGATTCTCCTGCCTCAGCCTCCCAAGTAGCTGGGATTATAGGCACGCACCACCACACCTGGCTAATTTTTGTATTTTTAGTAGAGACAGGGGTTTCACCATGTTGGCCAGGCTGGTCTCGAACTCCTGACCTCAGGTGATCCACCTGTCTCGGCCTCCCAAAGTGCTGGGATCACAGGCCTGCAATTCTTGTTTGGGAAGACCTTCACTGGCCTTCCCTTGACTAAGGGTTATTTCAGCTTACAGCTTAGACTTTACTTCCTTGAAGAAGCCTTGTTTGATGATCCACACCAAGCTGGGTGCCCCTGCTGTGCTTATTCCTGCCTTATTTTATTAAAATTACTGTTTATCACCCCGCCATACTGAAATTCCTTCAGATGGAGGATAGAGTTTCCATTTAAATACTTTAGCATAATATCTGGCACAATAGTAAGTACTGAATAAATATATGTAACTTATAAATAATATGTAAGTGGCATATTTTATATGTCTAAAAGAGGAACTGAAATCACAATTACAGCTTTATTGAATCCTTCTAGGTCTTTTAGATCTGTATTCTCAAACTTGAGTGTCCATCAGCATCACTTGGAGGGCTTCTTAAAACACAGACTGCTGGGCCCCCAACCCCAGACTTTCTGACTTAATAGGTCATTTCTTACTAGTTCCCAGATGATACTGTTGGTCCAGGGGTCACATCTTGAGAACCACCTTAGGGGAAAAAAAAGAAAGTATGTTTCTTTGGCATTTCTGTTTACTTCTTCAGGGATCACCATCAGTGATTTTAGATTTCCAAATTTGCCCACAAAAACAGTTTTATCCAATAGCATAACAACTACAGTAACTGTTGCAACAGTGTTGGAAAGATTTTTCCTTGTAGAGGTACTATGTAATTGGTCCTAGATACTGTGGTATATTGATGCTAAGAAGTGAAAGGAAAAATTTAAAACACAAGGGGGCCATCTTGTGGTAACCGTAGCAATTCAGAAAACTTTAAAAATTGAATTTGCGCTATAGGGAACCAAACATGTGGAGGACAAATTCGTGTTTTCTGATACATATTATGCATCTGGAAAAATGCAGACTACAAGTTAATTTATGTATTTTACTTAGTTTTTTCTTTACTTATGAAAAAATGCTTGTTTCACAGCATGGTATCACTTTTACTGTGTCCTCAGTGATAGATAATTACACCTCTGTTTCCCTTGGTAGTTAGGTAATCTTGGAACTCCTTGATTCATGTCTGTGGTTGGGAGTTTATTGAGAAAAATTATATTTGATATTTTTTAAAAATCAGGGTTGAAATTTTATGTCATTTTTAATTTTAGGTGGTATAAATAGTTGAATATTTCCTATTTTCTGGACCCAGCTGGTTTATAACTTCAGAAGAAATAATGGAAAGCCAAGAATTTATTGTAAGTTTTACCATTTTTCACAGTTTGGTGAAATTCCCTTCCTCTGTCTCTTTCTTTTAAAGGCGTTTCACAAACATCTTGCTGTGTTGCCAGATTTAGCAAAAACAAAACAAAAAACAGGCTACTCAGTTAAATTTGAATTTCAAATAAACAATGCATACCTTTTTTAGCATTAGGATCCCAAATATTGCACAGTATTTTATCTGGTAACCCTATCTGTTACCTACTATTCATATTTGTTACACAAAATCATCACTTTTCAGCCTTTTGGCTAAGATCAAGTATTAGACAAAGTCCTTTGTAACATAATCTTTGAAAGTGTGAGACCGGGAAACAATTTCTTTCTCTTGAAGAACTGGCATCCGTCTTCTGTATAGATCAGCAGTTCTCACACTATTTGGTCTCGGGACTCTTTAACACTTAGAAAATTATTGACCCCAAATAACTTGTGTATATAGGGTCTTACGTCTATTGATGTTTTTCATATTAGAAGTTAAAGCAGAAATGTAAAAAGTATTTATGATTTGGCTTAATGGAAGACAACTGGATTCTCATATTTGTTTCTTCTACATTCAGATTGCAATTGAATCTTACAATATTGCATATACATAATCCTGGGAAACTTCATTCTGCACCCCTGAAGGAGTGAGGATGAAAAGACAGCATCATGAAAATAGTTTTGACCTCACAGATACCTGTAAAGGTCTTGGAGACCTCCAGGAGTCTCTGGACCAAACTTTGAGAACTGCACAGATTATTAGTACTGTGTAATCCAGTAATTTTTTTCCCTTCCAATTGATGACTAGGGAGCTCAAATTACTTTCAATGCTCATTTATCTTTTTTGTTTCTTCCTTGGATTTCTCCTCTCCTTTCTTCCTTCTCCTGCCATTTCCTCCCCTATTCCCTCCCTCTCCTTCTCTCTCTCCCTTCCTTCCCTTATTTATTTCATTTAATTAATATTTAATGTTATTGTCATGCTATCTGTGCTTTTGTTTTTAAAATTTAAAAAATTGATATGGGTGTATGTGCCTTTTTTTGATGAAAGGTGCCTTAAATATATTTTGTATGTAGGAAGGATATATAAAATACATAACATTAAATATATATAAATGGAAACCATTTCTTTTGTATTTTTGGAAATAAGGTTCTATATACTCATCAAAAGATGAAGAAGTCAAAAGTGTGGCAAGATGGAATTCTGAAGATCACTCACTTAGGAAACAAAGTGAGTACAAAGCAGTTGACTATAGGGTGCAAGAGCAAGGTTCTCGATTTTTGATTGAATATTTAAAAAACTGTACATGATAAAATGTCAGATATATCCATACACTGAAATGATGTGAAAACAGATTTTCAAATGATCCCCATATCACAGTGGTTAATTTGTGCGTTATAAAAATAGTTCATTAATAGATAGAACGAATAAGATCTGTTATCCAGTAGCACAGTACAGTAACTATTGTTATTTATTTTTATTTTTTTTGAGACAGAGTCTTACTCTGTCACCCAGGCTGGGGTGCAGTGGCACGATCTCGGCTCACTGCAAACTCTGCCTCCCGGGTTCAAACGATTCTCCTGCCTCAGCCTCCCAAGTAGCTGGGACTACAGGCACCCGACACCATGCCTGACTAATTTTTTTGTATTTTTAGTAGAGACGGGGTTTCACCATGTTTCCCAGGCTTGTCTCGAACTCCTGACCTCAGGTGAGCTGCCTGCCTCAGCCTCCCAAAGTGCTGGGATTACAGGAGTGAGCCACTGCCCCCGGCTGAGTGACTATTGTTAATGATAATTTTTTGTATATTTTTAAAATAACTCCAGGAGTGGAATTGGAATGCTCCTAACATAAATGATAAGGCCAGGCATCATGGCTCATACCTGTAATCCCACCACGTTGGGAGGCTGAGGCAGGAAGATTGCTTGAAGCCTGGAGTTCAAGACCAGCCTGGGCAGCGAAGCAAGACTCTGTCTCTACAAAAAAATTAAAAGTAAATAAAAAAGTTTTTAAAAAGTTATAAACTGCTTATTATATGCTAGGCATAATGCTTTAAAAGTATCAACTTACTTAGTCTGCATAACTCTCCTACTAGTTAGGTATTCTTTTAATCTTTATTTTACTGAAGATGAAACTGGGGTACAGAGAGATGGAGTAGCTTGCCCAAGGGTCAAAGCTGGAAGGTGGAGGAGCCACATATGAACCTAGGCTTTTTGTCCCCAGGGCCCATGTCCTAACCATTCTCCATTCTACTGCGTCTCTTTTTTTTTTTTTTTGAGCCAGAATCTCACTCTGTTGCCCGGGTTGGAGTGCAGTGGCATGATCTCGGCTCACTGCAGCCTCCGCCTCCCACGTTCAAGCAGTTCTGCCTCAGCCCCCCAAGTAGCTGGGACTACAGGTGCCACCACCACGCCCGGCTAATTTTTTGTATTTTTAGTAGAGACGGTTTCGCCATGTTGTTCAGGCTGGTCTTGAACTCCTGACCTCAGGTGATCCAAATATTACTAATTTTAAAAAAGAACTTTATTACAGTTGAGTCACTAATTTTATATAGGACACATTGACAATGTCTGTGGCCTCCTGAATGAAGTCCCTACTCCTCAGTCTAGCAATTAAAGATAACCATATTCTGTTCTTTTTTTTTGAGATGGATTTTTGCTCTTGTCGCCCAGGCTGGAGTGCAGTGGCACAATCTCGGCTCCCTGAAGCCTCTGCCTCCCAGGTTCAGGTGATTCTCCTGCCTCAGCCTCCTGAGTAGCTGAGATTACAGGCACTTGCAACCATGCTCAGCTACTTTTTGTATTTTTAATAGACACGGAGTTTCACCATGTTGGTCAGGCTGGTCTTGAACTCCTGACTTCAGGTAATCCACCTCCCTAGGCCTCCCAAAGTGCTGGGATTACAGGCGTGAGCCACTGCGCCTGGCCTGAGCCACTGCGCCTGGCCCTACTATTTCTTAATATTTAATTTGTTAAAACAGCAAATTAAAAAACTAATTTTGCCTTAAGCCTTCAAGTTCAATTTATGTAATCCTATTAAATTTGTAAACCTAGTTAAGTTAAACAGTTACTTTCAGTAGGGTTTTAGCTTAATGTTCAAGCAACTTAAGTTGAAAAAACTAAGTGCTTTTTTTTTTTCTTTTTTTAGACAGAGTCTTGCTCTGTTGCCCAGGCTGGAGTGCAGTGGCACAGTCTTGGCTCACTACAACCTCTGCATCCAAGGTTCAAGTGATTATCCTGCCTCAGCCTCCTGAGTAGCTGGGATTACAAGCGCCCACCACCATGCCTGGCTAATTTTTGTGTTTTTAGTAGAGATGGGGTTTCACCATGTTGGCCAGGCTGGTCTCAAACTCCTGACCTCAAGTGATCCACCCACCTCAGCCTCCTAAAGTGCTGGTATTACAGGTATGAGCCACTGTGCCTGGCAAAAGTAGCTTTTTAAAATTAAAAATAACACAAATATTTTATTAGTTTTTTTTTGTTTGTTTGTCTTTTGAGACAGAACTAACTCTGTCACTCAGGCTGGAGTGCAGCGGTGCAATCTCTGCTCTCTGCAACCTCCACCTCCTAGGCTCAAGTGATCCTCCCACCTCAGCATCCCAAGTAGCTGGAACCACAGGCACACACCACCTCACCTGGCAATTTTTACATTTTTTGTAGAGACAGGGTTTCACCATGTTGGCCAGGCTGGTCTCAAACTCCTGAGCTCAAGCCGTCTGCCTGCCTTGGCCTCCCAAAGTATTGGGATTACAGGCATAAGCCACCGCGCCTGGCTCAAATATTTTAAATATCGGATTACCTAATGTCAGATTGGCCAATAACTAAAATCTGTTCATGATCATAATTCAAAAGTATTGATATTTTTGTTTCGAATTACTTCATTATCTCTATATCCAGTTCTAAATGTTTCAGGAGTTACAGGGTACTTTCACGTTGAGTAAAAAACTTGTTACCCAAGTAAACTGGAGTTATCATATCAATGAACTGAGGCTGCTAATAAGATTTTGGATTGAAATTTGAGACCCAGGGCTATAGATAATCAGGATAACTTGAACACCATCACCAAGGGACATGTCGAGCCTTGTGTTTAATTGTAGTAACAACAGGATCTCCAAGTCTATGCTCTTTAAAGGTGGTGGTCTCATAGTTAATATCGCTATGTTCAAGTCATGTGATTAATTCTTCTAATTTAAATAGATGAATATTCAGGTCTTTGCATATCCATATTTTTTTTAAATACATAAACTAATTCATTCAGTGTCTGATGCTATTCTATATAACTTTTTCTTTTATATTCTGCCTTTTTCTTTAGATCCAGTGTCTTTAAAATCTTGTAGATATTTAAAAGCCATCTGATTGGATTCTGCATATCCTTTGTGTTGTCTTCTGGTTCCAAATTATTATGGTCATGCTAGTGCTATTATCCAACTTTATCTTCAACTATAGCATACATTTGTTGAGTGCCCATTATATATCTCACACAAGTAGGTTATAGGAAAACAAGATAGATTCAAGTTAGTCCCTGAAAGTTTCTATGTTCCAGGCAAGTTAATTATCTCACTGTTTCCTAAATAACGCCCTCAATCTTAAATGCAGGCTATTGCTTATATTCTTCTCTTGCTAGTTATGCCTTTTCTCTATCTAAATTCTGTCAAAGTTATTCATCTTCCACTGAATAAGTCATCAACCAACCAACATATTACTGGTAGACAGTGGGAAAAGTCAAATAGGTGGATGCAGAGTAGAAGAGCAGTTAGCATCAAATGTCAAGTAGACCTCAGTTTCAATTCTGGCTCTTCTCTTATTAGATGTATAATTTTGGGGGAGTAATCTCAGTGCCTCTGTTCTTTCTTTGTAAAATGGGGAAAATGATGCTTCATAAAGTTGTCTTAAGGATTAAAATAAGTAACACGTAAAGACCTTAACGAAGTACCTGCCACATCCTGAGCACGCAATGAATGGTAGTTTGTTATTAGAATTCTTGTCTTCAAGGGACTTTTATCTAATTTTTGACTAAGGGCATAAGGATCATAATATGTTTGTTTAGGATTCTATGAGATTACAAGGTAGAGACATTTAGATCTGTCTCTGGTTCAGAGAAGTCTTTCCAGATGAAGCATATATATATATTTTTTGTTCTGTTTTGTAAACAAAATTGCTAAGTTAGGGGGAAGGGAGCTGAAGATTGTATCCTAGTCCCAACAACATGAATGTATGAAATGATACGAAATGTGGGGAACTATAAGCATTTAAATATAGCTGAAATGAAGGCCCCATATTGGGAAATGATGCAGTATAAAGCTAAAGTGGTAGACAGGAACAATATCATGAAGAATTTTGTATGCTCAGCCCCAGGAGCTAATGAAGAATTATGAGAAGAAGAGTGACATATCATATTTGTATTTTATTTTATTCTATTTTTTTGAGTAGAAGTCTTCCACTGTCACCCAGGCTGGAGTGCAGTGGCACGATCTCGGCTCACTACAGCCTCTGCCTCCTGGGCACAAGTGATTCTTGGGCCTCAGCCTCCTGAGTAGCTGGGATTACAAGCATGTGCCACCACACTTGGCTAATTTTTGTATTTTTGGTAGAGACGGGTTTCACCATGTTGGCCAGGTTGGTCTCAAACTCTCGACCTCAGATGATCCACCCGCCTCGGCCTCTTAAAGTGCTGGGATTACAGACATGAGCCACCGTGCCCGGCTATATTTGTATTTTAGAAAGATTGGTTTGGCAGCAGTGTAAAAGTTGTGTAGGATGAAAGTCAGATTGGATTTCAGAGACTTATAGTAGAGGCTGTAGAATAATCTAGACAAAAATTAATGGAGGTCTGACCAAGCAGGCATTTGCAATGGCAATGGAGAAAAAGAATGATTATAGAGAAATTATGAAAGCATAGCCTCTTAGATCTTGGATATAGAAGGTGAGAAGAGGATCCAGAATGACTTTTAGGTTTGTGTATTTATTTCCCAAAATGAAGTATTTCAAAAAGAAAAATAAGTGAATGGGAACAATCAAGATTTTTAGTTCCATTTTGAACATAATAAATTTGAGGCTGGGCGCGGTGGCTCATGCCTGTAATCCTAGTACTTTGGGAGGCCAAGATGGGCAGATCACTTGAGGTCAGGAGTTTGAGACCAGGCCAGCCTGGTTAACGTGGTGAAACCCCGTCTCTACTAAAAATATAAAAATGAGCCAGGCATGGTGGCGGGTGCTTGTAATTCCAGCTACTCAAGAGATTGAGGCCCAAGAATCGCTTGAATCTGGGAGGTGGAGGTTGCAGTGATCTGAGATCATGCCACTGCACTGTAGCTTGAGCAATAGAGCAAGACTCAGTCTCAAAAAAAGAAAAATAAATAAATAAATAAATAAATAAATTTGAAGTATCACAGAAGCACTCACGTAATTAGCTGTAGAGACCCAGATCTCTGGAAGGAGTTCCTGACTACTAGTATAGATTGGAAGTCCTTGGCTTTTAGATGGTATTTGAAACTATTGGAGTGGATTCATTTGTTCAACAAATATTTTTTGGGCATCCGAGTGAGTTGCACACTGTTCTAAGAAATACAGCAGGGAACAAAACAAATAAATCCCTGACTTCATGGAAATAACGTGGAGGAGACAGACCACTAAATTAAATGCATATGTATGTCTAGTGAAAGGCAATAACAAGGACATTAGTGTGGTTGGAACAGAGTGAGCAAGGGCGAGAATGGAGATAAAGGGGATTATATAAGCCTCACTGGCTATGGAAAGAACTTTTGTTATTCTTAGGAGCTGTAGAGACATGGGAATGATTTGAGCAGGAGCATAACATGATCTGATTTATATGGATGATAGTGCTCAGGGAGGGTGTATCAAATTAAAAGAGGGACAAGAATACCATTTTTTTAACAGCTTTATTGAGATATAATTCACACTTCACACACTTTTCGATTCACCCGTTCAGTGATTTTTAGTATTTTCACAGTTTTGCAGCCATTAGCACAATTTAAATTTGGCATATTTTTGTCACCACCAAAAGAAATCTCATACTCATTGGCAATTACTACTCAGTACCCAGCCCCCAGCCCTATGCAAACACAAATCTACTTACTGTCTCTAGATTTACCTATTCTGGACATTTTTGCATCAATGAAATTATATAATAAGTAGTCTTTTGTGAATAAGTCTTATTTAGCATAATATTTTCAGGGTTCTTCCATGTTGAAGCATGTATCTTCATATATATTTTATTTTTTATTGCCATATAACTTTTTTTTTTTTTTGAGACGGAGTTTCGTTCTTGTTGCCCAGGCTGGAGTGCAATGGCGTGTTCTCAGCTCACCAAAACATCCACCTCCCCAGTTCAAGCGATTCTCCTGCCTCAGCCTCCTGAGTAGCTGGGATTACAGGCATGTGCCACCAAGGCTGGCTAATTTTGTATTTTAGTAGAGACGGGGTTTCTCCGTGTTGGTCAGGCTGGTCTCGAACTCCTGACCTCAGGTGATCTGCCCGCCTCAGCCTCCCAAAGTGCTGGGATTACAGACGTGAGCCACCACGCCTGGCATGATTTTCTTTTCTTTTTTTTTTTTTTTTGAGACGGAATCTCGCTCTGTCGCCCAGGCTGGAGTGCAGTGGCGCGATCTCGGCTTACTGCAAGCTCCGCCTCCCGGGTTTCACGCCATTCTCCTGCCTCAGCCTCCCGAATAGCTGGGACTACAGGCGCCTGCCACCGCGCCCGGCTAATTTTTTTGTATTTTTAGTAGAGATGGGGTTTCACCGTGTTAGCAGGATGGTCTCGATCTCCTGACCTCGTGATCCGCCGCCTCGGCCTCCCAAAGTGCTGGGATTACAGGCTTGAGCCACCGCGCCTGGCGATTTTCTTTTTTTAAATAGACAGGGTCTTGCTCTGTCACCCAGGCTGGATTGCAGTGGTGCAATCATAGTTCACTGTAGCCTCAAACCCTTAGGCTCAAACAATCCTTCCGCCTTAGCTTCCGAAGTAGTTGGGACTACTTAGGCTTGCACCACCATGTCTGGCTAATAAAAAAAATTTTTTAGAGATAGAGTCTTGCTTCGTTCCCTGGATTGATCTTGAACCTCTGGTCTCAGATAATCCTTGCATCTCAGCCTGCAGAGTACCTGGAGTATCTGGGTTTAACACCATGAGCCGTGTACCAAGCCCAATACGTCATGTTTTATTTATCCATTCATAATACAGTTGATATACCTTTGGGTTACTTCAACTTTTTGGCTATTATGAATAATGCTGCTATGAGCATTAATGTGCAAGTTTTTGTATAGATATATGTTTTTATTTCTGTTGGGTATATACCTAGGAGTGGAATTGCTGGGTCATGTGGGAACTTTAATCTTTCAAGGAATTGCCAAACTGTTTTCCAAAGTGATGGAAACACCAATATTAAAAGGGCTAGTGGAAAAATTGCTATGAAAAAGGGCTACAGACATAAGGGAAAAGCTAGAAAATGGTAATCACCTTAGCATCCTTTTTCCCCCCTTACCCCTCACATTTAACAAGTTTTATTCATTATACCTCATAAATAATTATCTTATCCTCCCAAATGTCAATATCTTAAGTGCTAATCATCTCCTTCATCCTGTATACCATCCCATTGCAATAATCTCTTAAAATGATCTTGTCTCCTGTTTGTCCCCTTTAATGTGTTTCAATTATAATTTCTTCCCAATTTTTTTTTTTTTAATTGAGATGGAGTCTCACTCTGTTGCCTAGGCTGGAATGCAGTGGCGTGATCTCAGCTCACTGCAACCCTGTCACCTGGGTTCAAGCAATTCTCCTGCCTCAGCCTGTATTTTTAGTAGAGATGGGGTTTTGCCATGTTGGCCAGGCTGGTCTAGACCTCAAGTGATCCACCTGCTTTGGCCTCCGAAAATGCTGGGATTACAGGCATGAACCACCATGCCCAGCCTCTTCCCAGTTTCATTCTAATATCCTCCTGGTAGGAATTAAGTTCTTGAATTCCTTTTTTTTTTTTTTTTGAGCAGTAGCAAGATTTATTGCGAAGAGCGAAAGAACAAAGCTTCCACAGCGTGGAAGGGGACCCGAGCGGGTTGCCCGAATTTCTTTTATGTATGCCTTTACTCTCTTAAACAGACTGATGCATAATAAACATTCAAAATAGATGAATTTTCAAATCCAAGTTCAACAAATGTAATCCTTTCATTATATGATTACTTATATAACAATTACTTATTTCCTCTTGAAGAAGTTTAAGAAAAGCATAATTGTGTTGTTCCTTTTTAACATTTATTTTGTTTTCATACAGGCAATTTTATATGATGACAAAGGAGCATGTTTGGAGAGTCTGTTTCTTAAATGCCTTGAGGTATTTTAGTGTGTTTATCTTATTTTTAAGTTATTATTTAAAAATCTCTTTAAATACCTCCTTTATGAATATTGTTAGTGTAGTCATAATATTAATACTAATAGTATTTGTTGAACATTATAGCTAGACTTTGTGCTAAAACCTTTTAGATATTGTTTCCTTTAATCTCTACAACTGATTTTTTATGATCTAAAAAAAACCTGATTTTTATAGATTAGGAGTGCAGTGCAGAAAGGTTAAGTAACTTGCTTATGTTCATAGAGTAACAGTGGTAGGAAGGCTGAAATTTGATCCTAGGAGGTGATTCTAGAGTCTAATTCTACTACATGATTTTTTCATAGGCAGAGGTCTACTGTGGGAAATTTTTTGTGACATATTCTCATTTAAGTATAATATTCTCTCACCAAAAAGAGAACTACCATTCAACCCAGGAGTACTATAACTGGGTATATACCCAAAGGAATATAAGTTGTTCTACCATAAAGACACATGTATGTGTATGTTCATTGTAGCACTATTCACAATAGCAAAGACATGGAATCAGCCTAAATGCCTATCAGTGATAGACTGGATAAAGAAAATGAGATAGAAATACACCATGAAATATTATACAGCCATAAAAAAGAATGAGATCATGTTCTTTTGCAGGAATATGGATGGAGCTGGAGGTCATTATCCTTAGCAAACTAATGCAGGGACATAGAAAACCAAATATTACATGTTCTCACATGTAAGTGGGAACCAAATATTACATGTTCTTACATGTAAGTGGGAGCTAAATGATGAGAATGCATGGACAAACGGGAACAACAGACATTGAAGCCTACTGAGAAACGGAGAGAGGGTAGGAGGAGGAAGAGGATCAGGAAAAATAATGGGTACTAGACTTAATACTTGGGTGATGAAATAATCTGTATAATAAACCGCCATGACACGGGTTTACCTATATAACAAACCTGCACATGTACTCCTGAACTTAAAGGTTAAAAATAAATACATAAATATTCTGTCAAATACATAGTTTGTGTTTTTCCTCTCAAAGAGGAAAAAGCATGGAAAGAGAACTAAAGGCATATTTTAGTGAAGAGTTAGGATATTAAAGTTGGTCATTCTGGGTTCATTTCCCAGTTCTAAATACTTCCTGGCCCACCTAAACTCTCTATGTCTAACTTCTCTGATGTAAAATGTAGATCACAGACAGATTTTACAGGGTCGGTCTGAAGGTTAGAAATAATTTCTGTAAAGTGCCTAGCAGTTTTAGTTAGTACAGTGAGTCTTTTTTTTTTTTTTTTTTTTCGAGATGGAGTCTCCCTCTGTTGCCCAGGCTGGAGTATGGTGGCATAATCTTGGCTCACTGCAGCCTCTGCCTCCTGGGTTCAAGCAATTCTCCTTCCTCAGCCTCCCAAGTAGCTGAGATTACAGGCGTGCGCCACCATGCCCAGCTAATTTTTTGTATTTTTAGTAGAGATGGGGTTTCACCATGTTGGCCAGGCTGGTCTTGAACTCCTGACCTCAAGTGATCCACGTGCCTTGGCCTCCTAAAGTGCTGGGATTACAGGCATGAGCCACCGCACATAGTCTAGTACAGTGATTCTAAATGTGTTAAAATGCATACTATGATGATGACGATGTTGATTTTTGGCCATAATATTCATTTTGAAATTTTACATGACATCAGTAGTGGTTATGTTACTTTTATATATTTTTAAAAGGGTCTAGGAGAATCAGTATCTTAGTATATGGTCTGATTGGTGGTAACTACTATTATTTCATCTTAAAAATCATTTCAGGCCAGGCGCGGTGGCTCACGCCTGTAATCCCAGCACTTTGGGAGGCCGAGGCAGGCGGATCACCTGAGGTCAGGAGTTCAAGACCAGCCTGACCAACATGGAGAAACCTCTTCTCTACTAAACATACAAAAAATTAGCTGGACGTGGTGGTGCATGCCTGCAATCCCAGCTGCTTGGGAGGCTGAGGTAGGAGAATCGCTTGAACCTGGGAGGCGGAGGTTCGGTGAGCCGAGATTGCGCTGTTGCACTCCAGACTGGGCAACAAGAGCGAAACTCCATCTCAAAGAAAAAAAAATCATTTCATTAGTAAAATATTAATCTGATATAGAGTTTGTATATTTTCAAATTCAGCTGATAATTTTTTTTTTTTTTTGAGATGGAGTTTTGCTCTTGTTGCCCAGGCTAGAGTGCAATAGCGCGATCTCACCTCACCGCAACCTCTGCCTCCCGGGTTCAAGTGATTCTCCTGCCTCAGCCTCCCGAGTGGCTGGGATTACAGGCATGCACCACCACACCCGGCTAATTTGTTTTGTATTTTTAGTAGAGACGGGGTTTCACCATGTTGGTCAGGCTGGTCTCAAACTCCCAACCTCAGGTGATCCGCCCACCTCGGCCTCCCAAAGTGCTAGGATTACAGGTGTGAGCCACTGCGTCTGGTGATAATCTTATTTTTATGCTGCAGTCAGAGGTGGTGGCAAGTACTACATTTGCTCATTAACATGATTAAAATGCATTTTTGGAATATGATTAAGCAACTAATGATTTATAATAATGTTTAATTTGTGATAATTATGAGTATCTTATTCATTTAAAGATATATAGTTGGTAATAACTCTAATTTTTGAAAAGTTACACTTAGTTGTATGGATTCTAAGTGAATTGCTTGGGAGGGGGCATTTTGTTCTTGTTTGTCTTTGTATCCCTAGCATGTAACAAGGGGCCTTATATAGGTCCCCAGTATGTAATATTTATTTACTAATTTAATTTTGTTTTTAGAGACATTGTCTCACTCTGTCATCCAGGTTGGAGTATGGCAGTGTGATCATAGCTTACTACAGCCTCAAACTCCTGGGCTCAAGGGATCCTTCCACCTCAGCCTTTCAAGTAGCTGAGACTGTAGGAACATGCCACCATGCCTGGCTAATTTTTTTTTTTTTTTTTTTGAGACAGGGTCTCACTCTGTCACCTAGGCTAGAGAGCAGTGGTGTGAAAACTGCTCACTGCAGCCTTGACCTCCTAGTCTGAAATCATCCTCCCACCTCATTCCCCCCAAATAGCTGGGACTATAGGTGCATGCCACCATGCATGGCTAATTTTTTTAAAAGTTTTTTGTAGAGACAGGGTCTTGCTATGTTGACTAGGGTGGTCTTGACCTCCTGGCTTCAAGCAATCCCCCTGCCTTGGTGTCCTTAGTGCTGGGATTACAGGCATAAGCCATCCCATCCAGCCCAGGCTAATTTAAAATAAAAATTTTTTGTAGAGACAGGATCTCAATATTTTGCCCAGGCTGGTCTCATAATCTTGGCCTCAAGCAATCCTCTTGCCTTGGTCTCCCAAAGTCTTGCGATTACGGGTGTGAGCTACCACGCCTAGCTCTAATATGTGTTGTTGAATAAACAAATCAGAGAAATTTTAAAATTATATTATTGTCCTTTTTTGTGCTTATTGATAGTTAATGAGTACATAATAATAAATAATTGAAGACTTTAGTTACTGATTTATTCGTTCAACACCTATTTATTGAACACCCATTGTGTCTTAGTGCTAGTGAGCATCCTGGAATACATAGATAATCAAATAATTAGATGTATGTGATTTTGACATTTATTCTTTCAGGTGAAACCTGGAGATGACTTAGAAAGTGATCGATACTTAATCACAGTTGAAGAGGTTAAAGTTGCTGGAGCCATAGGTATTGTTAAGCAGAATGTCAATAAAGAAGCACCAGAGTTAAATTCAAGGACATTTATATCCTCTGGCCGATCTCTTGGATGTCAGCCCTCTGGCTTAAAAAGGAAGTTTACTGTAAGTTTTGCTATGGAAAATAATATATCAAAATATATTTATAAAATTGTCTCGAAAAGTAGTGAATTTTGAAGTTATTGTACTCTGTCATTCAAAGGGCACTTCATAGTATACTTAGGTAGAAAGGAAGTAAACCCTACTTTGAAAAATCTTATTACAAATGAATGTACTTTGACAAACTTTAAATCTGAATTATTACTTTACCTTAGGCAAACCAGAAACAATCCTTCTCCTTTTTTTTTCTTAGCCAGTTCATTTCACATTTTCTTAATGGGTAATGGTACACCTAACAGTTATTTTAATATTTTCAGGGTTTTCAAGGACCACGTCAGGTTCCAAAGAAAATGGTTATTATGGAAAGTGGTGAATCAGCTGCATCACATGAGGCTAAGAAAACTGGCCCTACTATTTTTTCTCCATTCTGCAGCATGCCTCCTTTGTTTCCTACTGTTGGCAAGAAAGATGTAAATAATATACTGGCAGACCCTGAGAACATTGTGACTTACAAGAACAGGGAGAGAAATGCCATGGATTTTTCTTCGGTTTTTTCTCCATCCTTCCAGATTAACCCAGAAGTGCTGTGTGAAGAAAATTATTTTTGCTCACCTGTCAATTCTGGAAATAAGCTTTCAGACTCTTTACTGACCAATGAGCCTGTGAAAAGAGATAGTTTGGCATCTCACTATTCAGGAGTTTCACAAAACATCAGAAGCAAAGCACAGATATTAGCTCTTCTGAAGTCCGAATCATCTAGTTCATGTGAGGAACTAAATTCTGAGATGACAGAGCATTTTCCTCAAAAACAACCACAAGGAAGTTTAAAAATTGCTACTAAACCAAAGTACCTAATTCAACAGGAAGAGTGTGCTGAGATGAAGAGCACAGAAAATTTATACTACCAGCATCAATCAGAAAATACCATGAGAAATAAAAGCCGGTGGGCCATGTATTTATCCTCACAGAGTTCACCTATACATTCTTCTACTGTAGATGGGAATGATACAGAAAGGAAACCCAAGGCCCAGGAAGATGATGTAAATTCTAATTTGAAAGACCTTTCATTACAAAAAATTATACAGTTCGTTGAAACGTATGCTGAAGAGAGGAAAAAGTATAATGTAGACCAGTCAGTCGGTAATAATGATCCATCCTGGAATCAGGAAGTAAAATTAGAAATTCCTTCATTCAATGAAAGCAGTAGCTTACAGGTTACTTGTAGCAGTGCAGAAAATGATGGTATATTATCAGAATCTGACATTCAAGAAGATAATAAAATACCTTTTAATCAAAATGACAAGGGGTGCATTAAAGGATCAGTTCTCATTAAAGAAAATGCTCAGGAGGTAAATACATGTGGAACACTGGAAAAGGAGTATGAACAATCAGAGTCATCTCTGCCAGAACTGAAACATCTCCAAATTGAATCTAGTAATAATTCTAGGATCTCTGATGACATTACAGACATGATTTCTGAAAGTAAAATGGATAATGAAAGTCTTAATAGTATTCATGAATCTCTGAGTAATGTAACACAACCATTTTTGGAGGTAACTTTTAATCTGAACAATTTTGAGACCAGTGACACTGAGGAGGAATCACAGGAAAGCAACAAAATTTCCCAGGATTCAGAGAGTTGGGTAAAGGACATTTTGGTTAATGATGGCAATTCATGTTTTCAAAAGAGGTCTGAGAATACAAACTGTGAAGAGATTGAGGGTGAACATTTGCCATTCTTAACATCTGTTAGTGACAAACCTACAGTGACATTTCCTGTTAAAGAGACTCTGCCATCACAGTTTTGTGATAAAACTTATGTGGGTTTTGACATGGGAATATGTAAAACTGAAAACACAGGAAAAGAAATAGAGGAGTATAGTGACACATTAAGCAATTTTGAATCTTTCAAGTGGACTGATGCTGTATACGGAGATAATAAAGAAGATGCTAATAAACCTATTCAAGAAGTCAGAATTAACTATGATTTTGCTTTACCCCCGAATAAATCTAAAGGTATAAACATGAATTTACATATTCCTCATATTCAAAACCAGATTGCTGAAAACAGTAATCTATTTTCAGAAGATGCTCAACCTCAGCCTTTTATTTTGGGAAGTGACTTAGACAAAAATGATGAACATGTTTTACCCTCAACTTCTAGTAGTGACAACAGTGTCCAACTATTAAATACCAATCAGAATCACTATGAATGTATTGCACTTGATAAATCAAATACCCACATTTCCAATTCTTTGTTTTACCCACTGGGAAAAAAGCATCTTATTTCCAAAGACACAGAAGCACATATATCTGAACCTGAAGATTTGGGAAAGATTAGAAGTCCACCCCCTGACCATGTTGAGGTTGAAACTGCCAGAGAAGGCAAACAATACTGGAATCCTAGAAATTCTTCAGAACTTTCTGGATTAGTAAATACCATTTCTATTTTAAAGTCGCTATGTGAACACAGTACTGCTTTAGACAGCTTGGAAATATTGAAAAAGAAAAATACTGTCTTTCAGCAAGGAACTCAACAGACGTATGAGCCAGATAGCCCTCCTGAAGGTTAGAATTGCATGTCTATTTTGGAATGTTTTCTTTATAGGTCTTTGAGCTATAAAGAAAGAAGATATTAGCTCTGGGTGATACATTAAAGAATTACATAGTGTTTAAATAGGTAATACATGTACTTGGTAAAACCAATATTAATAGAGAATAGTAGCAATGAAAAGTCCCCATCCAACCACATCCCTTATTCTACCCTTCAGAATTAGCTACAGTTTTCTTCTAGAATATCCTTCCATAAATATTCTATGCGTATATAAGCATATATTGGCACATTTATGTGAATATATGTCAAAAAACGTACATATATATGTATGTATGTGTGTGTATATGTCAATCTTTTTTTTATTTTGGAGACAGTCTCACTCTGTCACCCAGGCTGGAGTGACACACTGCAACCTCTGCCTCCCAAGTAGTTGGGATTACAGGCATGCACCACCATGCTTAGCTAATTAAATCTATTCTTATTCATTTTTGGACAGGTACTAGGGAATACATTTTTTTAAAAAAGTGAGTTCATATTGATACCTCTAATTCCAATCCTATACCACAGAGTTCTTTTCCTCTTTCCTCCGTTCCACAGTTATGTCTTTTTTTTTTTTTTAAGACAGTTTCACTCTTGTCGTCCAGGCTGCAGTGCAGTGGCGCGATCTCGGCTCACTGCAACCTCCACCTCCTGGGTTCAAGTGATTCTCCTGCCTCAGTCTCCTGAGTAGCTGGAATTACAGGCACCCACGACCACGCCCAGCTAATTGTTTTGTATTTTTAGTAGAGACAGGGTTTCACTATGTTGGCCAGGCTGGTCTTGAACTCCTGACTTCGTGATCTGCCCACCTCGGCCTCCCAAAGTGTTGGGATTACAGGCGTGAGCCACCACTCCTGGCCCATAATTGTGTTTCTTTTTTTTTTTTTTTTGAGACACAGTCTTGCTCTGTCACCCAGGCTGGAGTGCAGTGGTGCGATCTCGGCTCACTGCAAGCTCCGCCTCATGGGTTCAAGTGATTCTCCTGCCTCAGCCTCCCCAGTAGCTGGAATTACAGGCACCCGCCACCATGCCCAGCTAATTTTTTTTTTGTATTTTTAGTAGAGATGGGGTTTCACCATGTTGGCCACGTTGGTCTTGAACTCTTGACCTCAGGAGATCCACCTGCCTCGGCCTCCCAAAGTGCTAGGATTACAGGCATGAGCCACTGCACCCAGCCCCATAATTGTGTTTCTGTACTCTCACAATATGAAAGGATCCTGGCTCCCAGTATCAGTATACCTTCTCAAATCTGCAATACAAGATAGCTTCCAAATTGTTATATCAATATTACTGCTAGTAAGAAACCTTTACAAATTTATAAAGTTCACAAATCAAAAGGTAAAATTGAACTTTTGAGTATCTCATGTGATTCCTGAGAAAAATATAAATTAACTTATTGTACCTACTAAAATGATTCTTTGAAATGTAGTTAAGTTTGAAGATAATTGTTAGTTTATTTTCTAAAATATTAAAAGTAAGTAGCCAGGCACAGTGGCTCATGCCTGTAATCCCAGCACTTTGGGAGGCAGAGGCGGGTGGATCACCTGAGGTCGGGAGTTCGAGACCAGTCTGGCCAACATGATGAAACCCTGTCTCTACTAAAAATATAAAAAATTAGATGAGCATTGTGGCAGGCACCTGTAATCCCAGCTACTCGGGAGGCTGAGGCAGGAGAATCATTTGAACCTGGTAGGTGGAGGTTGCAGTGAGCCGAGATCATGCCATTGTGCTCCTGGGCAACAAGAGTGAATGAAACTCCCATCTTAAAAAAAAAAAAAAAAGTAAAAAGCTTTAATGAAAAATAAATATGAGTAGATAAAGTTATGTGATACCATATAAGAATACAAAGTTCTAGCATGGAGATTTAGGGATTATAGAATTTAGTTTTGAAGGCCAGGTGTGGTGGCTCATGCCTGTAATCCCAGCACTTTGGGAGGCCGATGTGGGCGGATCACCAGAGGTCAGGAGTTCAAGATTAGCCTGGCCAACATGGTGAAACCCCATCTCTAATATATAAAAATTAGTCGGGTGTGGTGGTGGGGACCTGTAATCTAAGCTACTGGGGAGGCTGAGGCAGGAAAATAGCTTGAACCCGTGAGGCAGAAGTTGCAGTGAGTAGAGATTGTGTCACTGCACTTTAGCCTGGGTGACAGAGCAAGACTCCATCTTAAAAAAAAAAATTAGTTTTGGGAAACCAGCTGGTTTCTGTCATCAAGTTGGAAAGAAAATTAAAGTTGATTCTGATTATTTGCAGTAGTTCTGTGAAGTCACTGCAAACACATAACTAGTAATAGTAAACCTTGCTCCTATGGGAAATACAGGGTTAGGTTCCTGCAAGCCTGTGGTCAGAACATTTTCATTAATTTATGAATACGTAACCTTGTTTTATGTATGTTTCTGCTTAAAGAACCTTATTTAATATATATTGTTAATTCATTAACATTAAACTCACTCATAGCCAACAGCAATATAACTCTTACCTATAAAAAATGTACCTAACATATGCACTTTCCTCATAAGGAATATCACAGTCTTCTTGCCCTTGGGAACACTAGATAGCACTATTCTTAGGGGACTTTTTTTTTTTTGACACAGAGTCTCGCTCTGTTGCCCAGGCTGGAGTGCAGTGGCGCGATCTTGGCTCACTGCAACCTCCGCCTCCTGGGTTTAAGCAATTCTCCTACTTCAGCCTCCCAAATAGCTGGGACTACAGGCGTGTGCCACCACACCCAACTAATTTTTGTTTTTTTTTATTAGAGACGGGGTTTCGCTATGTTGGTCAGGCTGGTTTGAACTGACCTCAGGTGATCTGCCCACCTCGGCCTCCCGAAGTGCTGGGATTATAGGCGTGAGCCACTGTACCTGGCCCCTTTGGGGACATTTTAAGTAGTGAAATTACCAATAAATAGCACAAAAATGAAAAATGTGGCACTAAGCAACCATGAAAAAGATAATTGTTTACAACATAAGCTAAAACAAGAAGCCAGAGTGTTACCTTGAGAACATGCGCTTCAGGCAATTCGTTTTTTGCTGTTCTATGTATGTCTGCAAATGACCATGAAAGTATAGCAAATACTGATTTGGGGTTACAAATAAACTTTAGGGAGTAGGCAGAATCCATGAGTAATGATCGACTAAATTTGCTTTTTTGATACAAATATATTTCTCTAAAAAGGATTAAGTTGGTTGCTTGAGACAGTTTGAGAAGATTGAATCACTAGGGTATAACATACTTTTATGAAGTTTAAAGCAAAATTAGAGAAGAAGAAATTTTGCCACCAATTTAGAATGTGCGAAAGTGTTAAAACTCTAAATTTTTTGTGAGATAATTGTATATAGCTTAGAAATGTTAATTTAGAATGTTTTTCTGGAGCAAAGGCAGTAAAGGAAAACAATATCAATTTTCATCTGGTGTTTTAAAAAAACTTGTTAGAAATGTCAAGTTCCAAAATTATTTTTTATTTTATTCTGAATTTTAGCAGGAAAACAATGAAATCATAAATAGCAATTGCCTAAAAATGAAGTTTACACTAGTTATAGCTATGATTTTTTACCGTAATTATCACTTTAAAATTAGTCTTTTTGTGATTTTAGAAGAGGAGATTATTGAATATGTACTTTTTTTTAAGAAAAAAAATTTCTATTTTTAAATGGATACCTGATAAGGTGGCAAAACTAGCCACCCTGCACTCCTTTGCATTCTGCAGGCTTGCCAACTTTTCTGCTGTTTTGTATTCAGCCTTTTACCCGAACACTTTTACCCTTGTCATAGCTGAGTTTTTTCTTCATCTCAACTTAAATGTTACTTCCCATGAGAAACTTTTCCTAATTCCTGTATCAAAAATCGTTCTGTATCATATCACTGTTCAATGAGATACCCTTTTGTATCATAATCTGAATTTATCTGGTTTAGTTATTTGTTTGTCTTTTGTGTCTCTCTTTTTTCAAGGAATTTTTTTTTGTCTTGTTCACTGCTATTTCCCTAGTGCCTGGCACACTGCACTTGGAAAATAATTGTTGAGTGAATTTTTTAGAATATAGAATTTTTTTCTTAAGCCATAGTAAAAATGGATTTAAGATAGACTAGAAATAGCATGAAGTGCTGTTTTTTTTTCTTTTGTTTGAGACATGGTCTCACTCTCACCCAGGCTGGAGTGCAGTGGTGCGATCTTAGCTCACTGCAACCTCCACCTCCCGAGTTCAAGTGATTCTCCTGCCTCAGCTTCCTGAGTAGCTGGGATTATAGTTGTGCACCACCATGTCTGGTTAATTTTTGTATTTTTAGTAGAGACAAGGTCTCAGCATGTTGGCCAGGCTGGTCTTGAAATCCTGGCCTCAAGTGATCTGCCTGCCTTGGCCTCCTAAAGTGCTGGGATTACAGGCATGAGCCACCATGCCCGACTCTGTTTTTCTTTTCTGTTTGTACATAGCAACAGTATACTGGGAGTCTTGACTTTCTTTCCTAACAGTTGTCCGGTACTTCATTTTTAGCATTTTTAGTATAGGTTATTAACTATTGGGTTAGTATTTATTTTTTAATTAGTGTAAAAAAGGAGTACAAGGAAACATTCCTACTATTGACTTAGAAAGTAAACAAAAAGGCTTTCATTCTAAATATTTTAAAATTTTTATCATAAAAATGTTTTAATCTAAACAGAGAACAGTACAGTGAATCCTCAAGTGCTACATTCCAGATTGAACAATTACCAAGATTGTCTGATCTTAAAATTTAAGTTATATTCCTTGTTTTGGTTTTAGGAATAAGTTAAATTTTAGAGTACTGCTATATATAACAATGATATGATTATTTCTTTTCTCCATTACAGTGAGGAAACCATTTATTACAGTAGTTTCACCAAAGTCTCCTCATCTGCACAAGGATTCTCAACAGGTACAGGTTTTTTTTCTAAGAGTATGTTTTTTTTATTTTGATAAGAATGTTCTATAATTTGTAATAGAATTATAGTAATACAGTCCCAAGCTATCTTGGTTCATGACTCCTGCTGTATCTCAGTAATTTTTCATTGCCTTCCTCAGCCAAAAGAAATGCCTAACAGTTTCATTTATTATGTAGTTAATAGTATTAAGCAACTCAAGTATTTCCTAGTAACTTTGTAAGCATTTTGTTTGTTAAAAAACACAGTTACATGGCTGGACGTGGAGGCTCACGCCTGTAATCCCAGCACTTTGGGAGGCTGAGGCAGGCAGATCACTTGAGGTCAGGAATTCGAGACCAGCCTGGCTGATGTGGTGAAACCCCATCTCTACTAAAAACACAAAAATTAGCCAGGCATGGTGGCATGCACCTGTAATCTCAGCTACTTGGGAGGCTGAGGCAGGAGAATCACTTGAACCCAGGAGGCGGAGGTTGCAGTGAGCCGAGATCATGCCATTGCACTCCAGCCTGGGCAACAAGAGTGAGACTCCATCTCAAAAAAAAAAAACAAAACCCCACAGTTACTAATGGAATGTGTACCTCTGTTGGGCACTATACAACTTCTCAAACCTTGGAATAGATTAGGTAACACCACCTTATTTCTTGTTACACGTTGATTTTCTCATGATAATTGCTTTTTATCACAGCAGTTTCTCAGAACCCAGCTTCACAAAGGTGCAATGTCATTGAAAGAAATGTAGCAAGATCTGATGTAGAAACAGACCTGGAGTTAGTAGTTCATTAGGTGTCAGACAGATGTCAGGTGACACTGTTACCCTACATATAAAACACCTTATGGAGCTCCTGTGAGTTCATTGTGCCACCTCAGGGTACCTTGTTGCACAGTTTGGGAACCATGGTAGTTATATAAAAAATAATAGTTCTAATTAGGATGAATTGAAATTCTAGGATAAATCATCTAGATGAGTGTTTCTCACTCAATGGGGATGCTGTTAGCACTTTTGGAGGGTCAGTTCTTTCATTATATGGCACTGGTCTTTCTACAGACATGTTTGGAACAAAAGAAAGTAGAATGTTTCACTTGCCTCCATTTTATTTTTGTTTTTATTTATTTTGAGATGGAGTCTCTCTCTTTCGCCCAGGCTGGAGTGCAGTGGCACGATCTTGGCTCACTGCAGCCTCCATCTCCCAGGTTCAAGTGATTCTCCTGCCCCAGCCTCCCAAGTAGCTGGGATTACAGGTGCGTGCCACCACACCCAGCTAATTTTTGTATTTTTAGTAGAGATGGAGTTTCACCATGTTGGCCAGGCTGGTCTCCAACTCCTGACCTCAAGTGATCCACCCGCCTCAGGCTCCCAAAGTGCTGGGATTACAGGCATGAGCCACCAGGCCCGGCCTCACTTGCCTCCATTTTATATCTTACTTTATTCTTTATGTTACTGGTCCTTTTTTTCCCCTTTTAATAATGTTGATTTTTTTTTCTTTTTTCTAAATACAGAAAACAGTGAAGAAAAAAATAAAACCTACCCTGCCTCTCAGAATATTTATTAATGTTTCCAGATTTTTTTGTGTCCAGTTAAAAAAAATGGTTAGATTGATGTATATAAATAGTTTTATATCCTTTCCCCTTAATATCGTTGTATTATCTTACATTATTAATAATTCTTCTTAAACATACTTTTTAAAAGTTATTTACCATCCATCCTATGGCTATCTTGTGCTTTGGACAAATAGTTCTCTGTTTTGGTCATTTAAATAATTTCCAGCATTTTGCTATTATAAGTAACACTTTAATAAATGTTTTTACACATAAATCATTGTTTGCATTTTAAGTTTTTTCCTTAGATTTGATTCCAGAAGTAGAAGTAATTATTTGGAAGGCTAGGAACAACTTTCTTTCTTGGGTTCTTGATATTTTCTTTTTTTTTTCTTTTCTTTCTTTTTTTTGAGACGGAGTCTTGCTCTATTGCCCAGGCTGGAGAGCAGTGGCATGATCTCGGCTTACTGCAGCCTCTGCCTCCTGGGTTCAAGCAATTCTCCTGCCTTAGCCTCCTGGGTAGCTGGGACCACAGGCTCACGCCACCATGTGTGGATAATTTTTGTATTTTTAGTAGAGATGGGGTTTCGCCATGTTTGCCAGGCTGGTCTCGAACTCCTGTCCTCAGGTAATCTGCCCACCTCGGCCTCCCAAAGTGCTGCGATTATAGGCATGAGCCTCCGTGCTTGGCCATGATATTTTCAAATATAAAAATTTTAATGTTTTACAATTAGAATATTTATTTTACTTCATTTTTACTAGTACCGTTGTAAGCTTTTTAAATTCTTGCTAAATGACAATACTGTTTTATCAGGATTTTACTTTTTATGTATGTATTTTTTTCTGAGACAGGTTATTGCTCTGTTGCCCAGGCTGGACTGCAGTAGCGTGATTGGCTCCTGCAGCCTTGACCTCCTGGGCTCAAGTGATTCTCCTGCCTCAGCCTCCTGAGTAGCTGGGACTACAGGTGCATGCCACCATACCTAACTAACTGTTACATTTTTTGTAGAGATGGGGTTTCACTATGTTCCCCA
This sequence comes from Homo sapiens, assembly GCF_000001405.40. Taxonomy (NCBI): domain Eukaryota; kingdom Metazoa; phylum Chordata; class Mammalia; order Primates; family Hominidae; genus Homo; species Homo sapiens. The sequence goes on along the minus strand of NC_000004.12, from coordinate 112,609,946 downwards.
GCTGGTCTCAAACTCATGGGCTCAAGCAGTCTTCCAGCCCCAGCCTCTAAAGTGTTGGAATTACAGGTGTGAGCCACAATGCCTGGCCAGTTTTTATTTCATATTAGTGATGGTGTTCTAGTATTTCTTTTTTTTTTTTCTTCGTTTTGAGATGGAGTCTTGCTCTTGTCGCCCAGACTGGAGTGCAGTGGCGCAATCTTGGCCCACTGCAACCTCCTCCTCCCGGGTTCAAGTGATTCTCCTGCCTAAGCCTCCTGAGTAGCTGGGGTGTGCCACCACACCCGGCTAGTTTTTGTATTTTTTAGTAGAGACAGGGTTTCACCATGTTGGCCAGGGTGGTCTCGAACTCCTTACCTCAGGTGATCCGCCCACCTTGGCCTCCCAGAGTGCTGGGATTACAGGTGTGAGCCACCATGCCCAGCCCTAGTATTTCTTAAGTCTAATAGAAATTTATATTTTTGTTTTCTAAATTATTATTGCCTATTAGTTTATCTAAAATTAATATTCTATTCCTAAGATACTAAAAGAAGATGAAGTTGAACTAAGTGAACCACTTCAGTCTGTGCAGGTAAGTTATTTAAAATATAAATTAGCCCCTGGGCATGGTGGCTCATGCCTGTAATCCCAGCACTTTGGGAGGCTGAGGCGGGTGGATCACAAGGTCAGGAGATAGAGACCATCCTGGCTAACATGGTAAAACCCCGTCTCTACCAAAACTACAAAAAATTAGCTGGGCGTGGTGGCAGGTACCTGTAGTCCCGGCTACTCGGGAGGCTGAGGCAGGAGAATGGCATGAACCCGGGAGGCGGAGCTTGCAGTGAGCCGAGATAACGCCACTGCACTCCAGCCTGGGTGACAGAGTGAGACTCTGTCTCAAAAAAAAAAAAAATTAGCCAATTATATTTGTATATAGAGGTATGGCATGTAATTTTAAGTTAATAAATACATCTAAGTTTGTATTATATATTGTCAGTTTTTGAAATCATTTGTAGTGATTTTCATTTAGTATAAATGTACTATATGATCAATATAATTTGGTTAAATAACAAATTCTTTACCATGAAGTTAGTTTTGCAAACTTGCAAACATTACCAAACCCATGGGTCATTGACAATTATCCCTATAGCTCTGTTGCCTAAAACAGAACAAAATAAAAAGAAAACACCTGTATTATGGCTACTTGCCATTTTTCATTCTTATGTAACAAGATTACACATATAAAATTATAAACAATTGGCAACTACAAAATTTAGCTTACAAATGATCACGTTTTTGTCTTTTTTTCACTTGAAAAAATAAGGTTTAAATTTTTTCTTTTTGTTTTTTAAGGTGGAGTTTCACTCTTGTCGCCCAGGCTGGAGTGCAATGGTGTGATCTCGGCTCACCGCAACCTCCGCCTCCTGGGTTCAAGCAATTCTCTTCCCTCAGCCTCCTGAGTAGCTGGGGTGACAGGCATGCACTACCACGCCTGGCTAATTTTGTATTTTTTTAGTAGAGATGGGGTTTCTCCATGTTGGTCAGGCTGATCTCGAACTCCTGACCTCAGGCTATCCGCCTGCCTCGGCCTCCCAAAGTGCTGGGATTACAGGCATGAGCCACCACCTCCAGCCTAGGTTTAAAATTTTTTAAGGACAGGTATCACAGAGTATAAACTACAGATAAACACTATCATTATTTTTTCGCTTAGAATGAGTTGCCACTTAGATATCATATATTTTTTAAAAGTCTGTTGAAGCCGGGAGCAGTGGCCCGTGCCTATAATCTCAGTTACTCAGGAGGCTGAGGCAGGAGGATCGTTTGAGTTGAGATAGAGTCCAGCCTGGACCACATAATATGACATAGTATGATCCCCCTCTTATTAACAAGACAATAAAAATATGCTGTCATCTCACAGTAATGAAAAGGTCTTAATAATCTATTGCAATAAAAATTATTTAAATCTGTTTTTAGCTTTAAGATAGGAGTACATTTGTATTTTTGTAATGGCTCTTTTTTTTTTCTTTTTTCAGACGGGTTCTTACTCTGTCACCCAGACTAGAGTGCAGTGGCACAGTCACAGCTCACTGCAGCCTTGACCTCCAGTGCTCAAGCCATCCTCCTGCTTCAGCCTCCAAAGTAGCTGGGACCACAGGTGCACAGTACGATGGCTGGATAATTATTTTTTATTTTTTTATTTTGTAGAGATGGAGTCTGACTACATTGTTCAGGCTGGTCTTGAACTCCTGGCCTCAAGCAATCCTCCCACCTCCACCTCCCAAAGTGCTGGGATTATAGATAGGCATGTGCCTGGCCTATAATGGCTCTTCTTACTACAACTCTCTGAAACAACCTCTTTATGTATGTTGGTGGTAGAAGGAACTTTCAAAACAGTGTGTTCTTTGAAGATACCCTTAATGCCACTTCTGCCTCATTTTTAAAAGTATAATTAACTACATATTGCAAAAGAGCTATTCTTGCGAGAAGGTAGTATGCGAATTAATTTTGAAAACTGTATATTAGAAAATTGTAATTCTGGCTTGGCACAGTGGCTCACACGGGTAATCCCAACACTTTGGGAAGCCAAGACAGGGGTATCATTTGAGGCCAGGAGTTTGAGATCAGTGTGGGCAATACAGTGAGACTCCAACTCTAAAAAAAATTTTTTTAAATAAAAATAATTAGGTGGCATGGTGGCACATGCTTGTAGTCCCAGTTACTCAAGAGGTTGAAGCAGGAGGATTACTTGATCCCAGAGGTCAAGGCTTCAGTGAACAACGATTGCGCCACTGCACTCCAGCCTGGGTGACAGAGCAAGACCCTGTCTCTTAAAAAAAAAAGAAAAAATTCTAATTCTAAAATATAGGTTGAATATTTTTAAGAGCTACTTGGTTGGCAGTTGTGCTTATATATAAGTGTTATTAAAGGAAAGTGACCATTATTTGAAGAAATATACTACTTTATCTCTGGTCTGTTGGGGAAGTGTTTTTTCTTCATATTTGTTAAACATTTAAACAATTACTTTTGTAGTTGAATTCATTTTCTGTGTCTATCCAAGTCATATGAAAAATTATGGTTATTTTGTATATTACTTGATGAACTAAAAATGACTTGTTGCTGTTGTCAGTATCGTGTTTTGTGATTGCTAGGAGATGATTCATTCTTCAAATAGTCAATTACACTTTTTCAATTTTTCTTCCTTTCATTTCTTACTAATTTTAAAATAGATGATCTGCATTAACATAGTATTAGGTTTGACAGGTGATTTATTATGTACCTGGCATTTTTTTCTTTTTCTATTTTTTTTTTTTTTGAGACGGAGTTTTGCTTTGTTGGCCAGGCTGGAGTGCAATGGCGTGATCTCAGCTCACCACAATCTCTGCCTCCAGGGTTCAAGCAATTCTGCCTCAGCCTCCTGAGTAGCTGGGATTACAGGCATGTGCCACCACGCCAGGCTAATTTTGTATTTTTAGTAGAGATGGGGTTCCTCCATGGTGGTCAGGCTGGTCTCGAACTCCTGACCTGAGGTGATCTGCCTGCCTCGTCCTCCCAAAGTGCTGGGATTACAGGCGTAAGCCACTGCACCCAGTTATACCTGGCATTTTTTTCTAGTGTTCAAAGATTTAATTAAAAATTTAGAATCAGAATTTTCTAATGTGCTAAGTTTTCAAATTAATTAGCATAGTGACTTACCTGCTAAAGTACCCCTTTGCCAGGGAGAGCTAGCTTGTATGTGTGTGTAGACAGAAGCAAGATAGAGATGGCAAGTGTGTTTTCACAGGGCAAACTTAAGTTTTGCAATTATTTTTCCATCAAAATCATGAATCACCTGTGAAACTATTCTAGCTAACTAGATAACTTATTCATATTTTATCCTAGTTCTCTTCCTCGGGAAGTAAAGAAGAGACTGCTTTTCAAGCTGTTATTCCTAAACAAATAGAGAGAAAAACCTGTGACCCTAAGGTAAAATTTGTGAAGAACATCGATTTATTTAACCAACTACATTTTCTTTTCTGTTTAAAACAAAAAAACAAAAAAACAAGTATCAGAGTTTTCACAGGCAGAAGGTTAGTAGCATAATAAATAAGTCTGGTTTTAAGAACAAGAAAAACTATTTAATGACTCCTGCCCCCCTTTTTGGTCTTAAACTTTCTCTATACTACTAATGAGCTAATAATAACAGTGTTTACATTATCCTTCCGTACATAGGATACTCTAGGGGTTGGACACAAAGCCATGTAGAGTAAAATTAATGAATACTCTGTGGGGAACAAAATGAGTATCTTTATACCCTTTAACTTATTATAGTCTATTCTGCCACTTATACTTCTGAGTATATAGAAGTATACGTAACCAACATCTAAGTAGTGCTACCTATTCTATATCAAAAATTAACAAAGACAACAGCATAAAAATGGATGGGTTTTGTAAATAGCAGTTCTACTCCTAAAACCCAACACACCTCTGGAAGAGATCTACATGGCAGCATAGAAGGCAAGGTACCTATTTTGGCCAGGCATGGTGACTCATGCCTGTAATCCCAGTACTTTGGGAGGCCAAGGCGGGTGGATCACTTGAGGCCAGGAGTTCGAGACCAGCCTGGTCAACATGGCAAAACCCCGTTTCTACTAAAAATACAAAAACTAGCTGGGTGTGGTGGTACACACCTGTAGTCCCAGCTACTCTGGAGGCTGAGGCATGAGAATCACTTGAACCTGGGAGGTGGAGGTTGCAGCGAGCCAACATTGTGCCACTGCACTCCAGCCTGGGTGACAGAACGAAACTCTGTCTCAAAAAAAAAAAAGTGGGGGAGGTAATGTACCTGTTTCCTTGTGGGGAGTATACATTACCCATCAGACAAAGCAGAAGCAGAAATATACAGAATCTTTAACAGTTGAGACTCATTTTTATTGCAATGTTTATTTTTAAATTCAGAAGAATATTTTCCACCAAAGTCCTATTAAAGGGGCATTTAAATTAGATTTTTCTTTCAAATGTGTGATTTACAGTTCTTCATTTTTGAATAAGAGTATATTCAAATTATATATTACTGTCATTTTGTTAGTTAAAAATGAATTAATCCTTTACCTACATTCCTTTGACTCTGTTACAGTCTTATTTTTCCACATTTTGGGTAAGCTTTACTTTGTATGGAGTAAAAAATCCTAGAACCCTCCAGGGGGCAGCAGAGAAAGCCATTTGAAGCCTGAAAACAGACTGAGTGAAAGAGCCTGTCTAAGGAACATGTCTACATTGGAATCACACTCTTAGGCTTTTGCTCTCAGAGCAGTAGGATATCACATCTTTCTACTGAGAGGCAGAGAGTCCACCACCCATCCTGCAGTTGAGCCTGATATTTTACAAAACCCCTAAGTAAAGAGAAATGCTGTTTGCATTCTTTCTCATTGTTCCCTTTCTGTTACTGGCTGTTTATTTATTGCTTCCTGTATACCAAGTACTGTGTGGTACCTAGATGAAGCAAAACATCTCTGCTCACAAGGGGCTTACAGTACAATTAGTACAGAAATAAGGAAAAACTTCATTGAAGTATGAAGTTGTGAGTCTATAATATATAGTATTGTATGTAATGCATAGTTGTATAATATATAGTGGAAGCATTGAGAAGCAACTAAATATTTCTGGTTTAATTAGCTATTATTATTATACTCATCTTTATGCTTGTAATAAAATTATACTTATTCATTTGTTTCCCCCTCATTGGCTATAAATCATACTTTTTTTTTTTTGAGATGGAATCTCTCTATGTCACCCAGGCTGGAGTGCAGTGGCGTGATCTCAGCTCACTGCAACCTCCAACTCCTTGGTTCAAGCAATTCTCCGGCCTCAGCCTCCCGAGTAGCTGAGATTACAGGCGTGCACCACCACGCCTGGCTAATTTTTTATATTTTTAGTAGAGATGGGGTTTCACCATGTTGGTCAGGCTGATCTTGAACTCCTGACCTCAAGTGATCCACCCACCTTGGCCTCCCAAAGTGCAGGAATTACAGATGTGAGCCACCATGCCCAGCCTAAATCATACTTTTTAATGTTGAACTTAAATGTAGTTAAATCGATGCACTTTGAATTTGTTACCCATAACGTATGTTTTAGGATAATAGGAGAATTTCCCGGTTTTCAGCATTAGTTCCTGGTATTTACAATAGTTCCTGTAATAAAAAGCTGAATTATGTATTGTATTCTGTGTGTTTACTTTGTGAATATATATGTCAACATATAGTTATGCAGTTCTTATTTTTAATAATTTACCTGTAGCCTGTTGAGTTTCAAGGACATCAAGTAAAAGGATCAGCTACTAGTGGTGTAATGGTCAGAGGACACAGCTCACAGCTAGGATGCAGTCAGTTTCCAGATAGCACTGAGTATGAAAACTTTATGACAGAGACACCAGAGTTACCTAGCACGTGTATGCAGATTGACTTCTTGCAGGTAAAAATATTTTTATAGTTGCATTTTGCCAAATCATTTTCTTTATGTTAATACTACATTTTGTGAAAATAGTATAGTTGTTTATACAGTTATAAGTTAAAAAGGAGTACAGTAAATTGACAAGAAGCATAATATCTCAAAACTAAATAACAAAAGTATTTTACTTGAAAGATGTATTACTTTTTTAACATTGGGAGTTTAACAGATTACTTTTCACTTCAGAGAAGACTATAAATTCATGACAAAAGCAAACAGGTACATTACACAAAGAAAATACTCACCTGTTTAACATCTAATAGATTTTTTTTCTTCTGATATTTCCCTTCTCTCTTTAAATATGACACTGAGTACCTCTAGTTGCTACCAAAGGCAGATTTCTGGGGATGAAAATAGAGGTCATGAGGTTAGAATGATAAGCATGTATTTGAAACAGTGTTCATCAAAGAGATTTTTTTTTAAATTTCCCTTTTTGTCAAAGCATAATACATATGAGAAGAAATAAAGAAAAAAAAGCATAATACATATATGAAATAAGTAAATCATCACAAAGCATACTCATATAACCTCCACCTTTAACAAATAGAGCATTCTCAGCATCTCAGAAGCTCTCCTTCTGCCCCTTTTCAATCACTACCCTTTTCACTTTTCCCTAAGATATCCACTGTCTTGACTTATAACCATCTATTAGTTTTGCTTTTAAAACTTTATATAAATAGAATCATACACAGTGTATTCTTTGTGTCTGCCCTCTTTTGTTTAATATTGCAATTCTGAAATTCATTTATGTTGTTGCCTGTGGCTATAATTTATTCATTTTAATTGCTGGTGTAGTATTCTGTTGCATAAATATATCCCAATTTATCCATTCTTCAGATGTTTGTGTTATTTGTGTTAAGGGACTATTACAGATACTGCTGCTGTGAACATTCAAGTACCATCATGAACATGTACATATACACACATGCGTGACATACTTATGTTGGTTATATTACCTAGGAGTAGCATCATTGAGTCACTGGATAGGATATATTTACTTTTAGTACATAATGCAAAACTGATTTCCAAAGTGGTTTTTATAATTTACATTTCCATTAGGAGTGTATGAGAGTGCCCATCACTCTACATCTTTACCAACACTTGATGCTGTTTTTGGTTTTCAGTTTTAGCTATTCTGGTGGGTATATATTGGTACTTCAGTTGTAGTTTTAATTTGCATTTTCCTGCCTGATAGTGAGGTTGGGACCTTTTTTGTATGCCTATTGGCCATCTCTTTATCCTCTTTGATGTAGTGCCTGTTCAGCTTTCTTCCTTTTTTTTTTTGAGACAGAGTTTTGCTCTTGTTGCCCAGACTGGAGTGCAATGGCGTGATCTTGGCTCACTGCAACCTCTGCCTCCTGGGTTCAAGCGATTCTCCTGCCTCAGCCTCCCAAGTAGCTGGGATTACAGGCATGTGCCACTGAGCCCAGCTAATTTGTATTTTTAGTAGAGATGGGGTTTCTCCATGTTGGTCAGGCTGGTCTCGAACTCCTGACCTCAGGTGATCTGCCGGCCTCGTCCTCCCAAAGTGCTGGGATTACAGGCGTGAGCCACCATGCCTGGCCTCTTCCTCATTTTTTAATTGACGTGCTTATCTTTTAAAAAATTTTCTGGAATTCTTTATATAATTTGGATACCTACTCATTGTCAGTTGTATGCTTTGCAAATATCTTTCCTGACCCTTACTTACCTTTTCACTCTTAATGGTATCTTTGATGAATCAAAAATTTTTCTTTTTTTGTTGTTTTTTGAGACAGAGTCTTAACTCTGTCACCCAGGCTGGAGTGCAGTGCATGAACATGGCTCACTGCAGCCTCAACTTCTTGGACTCAAGCAATCCTCCTGCCTCAGACTCTCGAGTAGCTGGGACTACATGTGCCCACCACTATGCCCAGCTAATTTTTTTTTTTTTTTTAGACAAGGTCTTGCTCTGTCACCCAGTCTGGAGTGCAGTGGCGTGATCTCAGCTCACTGAAACCTCTGCCTCCTGGGTTCTAGCAATTCTCCTGCCTCAGCCTCCCGAGTAGCTGGGATTACAGACATGCGCCACCATGCCTGGCTAATTTCTTGTATTTTTAGTATGGTTGCATATACATTTAGAACTAGCTTAACAATTTGCTATGTTGGCCAGGTTGTTCTCAAACTCCTAGCCTCAAGTGATCTGCCTGCCTCGGCCTCCCAAAGTGCTGGGATTACAGGCATGAGCCACTACTCCCGGCTGCCCAGCTAATTTTTAAAATTTTTTTGAGATGTTGTTTCACCAGGTTGCTGCTGGTTTTGAACTCCTGGGCTCAAACGATCTTCCTGCCTCAGCCCCCCAAAGTGTTGGGATTATAGGTGTGAACCACCACGCCTGGCCTAGTTTATCATTTTTTTTTTTTTTTTGAGATGGAGTCTTGCTCTGTTGCCCAGGCTGGAGTGCAGTGGCGTGATTTTGCCTCACTGCAACCTCTGCTGTTGGGGTGATCAGACCCAACACCAGGTTGTAGGGGTGATGAAGTCTGGCAGAGTCAAAGGATTGAGAAAAAGACAGTATGAGAAGTAAAACTGGGACCAGGTGGCCATCGCGATCATGGAGGCTGCGAAGGCCCCGATCTCTGGGAGCCCACACTGTTTATTGGTAATCCAACAGAGAAACAGGTGGTGAGAATGTGGAGGTCAAAAGGGCAGGCACATGATCTACAGCTGTGACAGTTTAGCATTTATAAGGAACGTGTTCTGCTACTTGAGATAATGGGAATAGGAGCCTAGGAGGGCTAGAAGCAAGGAGCCAGCAAGTCTACACACATTCCAGAGGACATTATGTCAGTCATGCAAGCCCTACCTCAGTTTCCCTCCCAACACTCAGCTTGTTCCCAACACTCCGCCTCCTGGGTTCAAGTGATTCTCCTGCGTCAGCCTCCCAAGTAGCTGGGATTACAGGTGCCCACCACCACGCCAGCTAATTTTTGTATTTCTAGTAGAGACGGGGTTTCACCATGTTGGCCAGGCAGGACTCGAACTCCTGACCTCGTGATCCGCTTGCTTCGGCCTCCCAAAGTACTGGGATTACAGGAGTGATCCACCACACCTGGCCCTAGTTTATCATTTTTAATGTAATTTATTTGCTGTTTCCTTTACGATTAGCGCTTTTGTATCTTAAGAAATCTTTCTCTGGATGACAAGGTCACTCACACCTGTAATCCCAGCACTTCAGGAGCCTGAAGCAGGAGGATCACTTAAGGCAAGGAATTCAAGACCAGCCTGGGCAACATAGTGAGACTCGGTCCCTACAAAAAAAATTTAAAAATTAGGTAGGTGTCATGTTGCGTGCCTCTAGTCCCAGCTACCCAGCAGGCTGAGGTAGGAGGATTGCTTGAGCCTGGGAGATTGAGGCTGCCTTGAGCCATGATCATGCCACCACACTGGGTGACAGAGTGAGATCCTGTATCAAAGAAAAAAAAACATTACCTCAAGATCATGAAGATATTCTCTCATATTATCTTGTACAAGCTTTATTAATTTACATTTCACATTTTGATCTACAGTTTACCTGTAATTGATTTTTATGTATTGAGTACATTTTATGTAAAGTTACATGTTTTCTCCATATGAATATTCAGTTGACCCAGCACCATTTATTGAAAAAGCTATCTTTTCTTCATTCCTTTGCCATGAATCAAGGGTCCATATATTAAGGGTCTCTTATTAGTTTCTCTTCTGATTTATTGGTCTGCAATTTCAGAAGTCACAAAGCATGTGTTTTCTTTCTTTCTTCCTTTTTTTTTAAACAGAATCTCACTGTGTCACCCAGGCTGAAGTGCAGTGGCATTATACAGGCTCATTGCAGCTTCAAACTCCTGGGCTCAAGTGATCCTCCCTCCACAGCCTCCCAAGTAGCTGAGACTGTAGGCACACACCACCATGCCTGGCTAATTTTTTTTTTTTTTTTTTAGACACAGGGTCTTGCTATATTGCCAGGCTGGTCTCAAACTCCTGACTCAAGCAGTCCTCTCACCTTGGTCTTCCAAAGTGCTGGGACTGTAGGCGTGAGCCACAGTGGCTGGCCTATGTACTTCCTATGTATCTTTAAATCTTCCCACCTCATTCTTCTCATTTTTTTACATTTGCATATATGTTTAGAACTAGCTTAATGGTTTTCACACATACAAGCTGGGAATTTGGATGAAATTCCATTGTGCATGTCAATTTTGGGCAGAATTAACATTTTTATAATATGTTATTGATAAATTTTCAATATTATAAAAATATTTCCCTCTATTTCAATCTGCTGCAATATCTTCCAGTAATGTTTTACAGTTTTGGTATAGAGGTTCTCTATATATTATTTGTATATTTGATTTGTAGGAGCTCTTCGCTCTTTACATACTAAGAAAATTAACCCTTTGTCATTTTTTTCCACTACATTAGTGCTTTGACTCTGATTTTTTTGTTTTTGAGAAGGAGCCTCACTCTGTTGCCCAAGCTGGAGTGCAGTGGCATGATATTGGCTCACTGCAACCTCTGTCTCCCAGGCTCAAGTGATTCCCCCACCTTAGCCTCCTGAGTAGCTGGGACTACAGGTACACACCACCAAACCTCGCTAATTTTTAAATTTTTTATAGAGATAGGGTTTTACCATGTTGCCCAGGCTGGTCTTGAACTCCTGGGCTCAACCGATACACCTGCCTTGACCCCCCAAAGTGTTGGGATTCTAGGCATCTGACACCGTGACTGGCCTGATTATGATTTTTCTAAAATTAAATGTTTTAATTTATGTAATAAGATTTGTCAGTGTTTTTTGTGATTTCTGGAGCTCAGAACTCTTTTTCACTTAATGTTTTTAATTAATAAAAACATTATTTTATTATTAATTAATAAAAGCACCTTGATGCTTTTAATAACTATTGTGATTTTGCACTGTCTTTAGCAAGAGCTAATGATTACAGTGGCTACAGTAAAATTAGTTGTTTCTGAATCCCTCCTTTATATTCTTCCAGGCACCTATAATATTAAGTTATATTATAACTTTAAGATAAATATATATTCAATGTTTTCGTTATTATAAATGTTTTAATATTTTCACTGCTGAGCCAATTGGTATACTATGATTACATTTTCTTCCCTTTATAACTTTGGGTTTTTCCGGTTTATAATTGTCTCTTTTTAAAATTTGCTTAGTGTTTTTTGAATACTGGGGCAAAGTTTTTCCATACCCTCAAAAAGCTGTATAAAATACTCCTTAATACAGGAATTCACACATACTTTTCATATAATCTGTGTCAGTTCCATTATTTTCCTATGGCATCTTTTCCAGGTTTTTCATCTGCCTGCTTCAGTATGCACTGTATAATTGACAACTTAAGAATGCCCATTGCTGCCTTCCTAGCATGAGTTGCTTACATCTTGAACACCATGTCTCCTTTCTTGTTATGCTGGAGTACATCTTTGAATACCTCCAAAGAAAGGGAGCAAGGGGAGATAAAATTTGGGAGACTTTGCATGTTGAAAATGGTTTTTTTTGCTTTCATACTTGATTGATAGTTTGACTTAGTGTAGAATTTGGATATGATCTGCTTTATTCTTTTTTTTTTTTTTTTCAGTGTGTGTGTGTGTGGGTACATTTTGAGACAGTCTGGCTCTGTCACCCAGGCCGGAGTGAAGTGGCACGATCTCGGCTCACTGCAACCTCTGTCTCCCAGGCTTAAGCGATTCTCCTGCCTCAGCCTCCCGAGTAGCTGGGGCCACAGGCACGCACCACCACGTCCAGCTAATTTTTTTTTGGTATTTTTAGTAGAGACAGGGTTTCTCCATCTTGGCCAGGCTGGTCTTGAACTCCTGACCTCAAATGATCCACTCACCTCAGCCTCCAAAAGTGCTGGGATTACAGGAGTGAACCACTGTGCCCACTTCTTTGTAATTTAAATTTAGCAGTGCCTTCTCTCTCTAGAATTATTATTACTATTACTATTATTATTATTATTAGAGACAAGGTCTCACTCTCTTCCTTAGGCTGGAGTGCAGTGGCACAATTATAACTCACTGTAGCCTCAAACTCCTGGGCCCAAGCCAACCTCCTGCCTCAGCCTCCTGGGTAGCTGGGATTACAGATGCACACCACCACACCTGGCTAATTTTTAAAAACTTTTTCTAGAGATGGGGTCTTCCTATGTTTTCTGGGTCTCAAACTCCTGCCCTCAAGTGTTCCTGCTGCCTCAGCCTCCCAAAGTGCTGGGATTATAGGTGTGAGCACAGTGCCTGACCCTCCCTCTAGAATTTTTTTTTTTTTTTTTTTTAGATGGAGTTTGGCTCTGTCACCCAGGCTGGAGTGCAGTGGTGTGATCTCGGCTCACTGCAACCTCCGCCTCTTGGGTTCAAGTGATTATTCTGCCTCAGCCTCCCAAGAAGCTGGGACTACAGGCGTGCACCACCACACCTGGCTAATTTTTGTATTTTTAATGGAGACAGGGTTTCACTATGTTGACCAGAATGGCCTCAAACTTCTGACCTTAAGTGATCCGCCTGTCTCAGCCTCCCAAAGTGCTAGGATTACAGGCATGAACTGCTGTGCCCGGCACAGAAACTTTTAATGACTTTAAAAAAATTCCTGGCCATGCACAGTGGCCTCCCAAAGTGCTAGATAATCCCAGCACTTGGGGAGGTCGAGGTGGGCAGATCACCTGAGCTCAGGAGTTCGAGACCATCCTGGGCAACGGGGCAAAACCCTGTCTCTACACAAAATTAAAAATTAGCCAGGCGTGGTGGCATGTGCCTGTAATCCCAGCTACTTGGGAGGCTAAGGCAGGAGAATCCCTTGAGCCTGGGAGGTAGAGGTTGCAATGAGCTGAGATTGTGCCAGTGCCCTCCAGCTTGGGCAACAGAGTGAGACCCAGTTTCCAACAACAAAAAAAAAAATCCTGATATTCTGAAATTTCGCTGTCATGTGCTTTCCTTCAGGTTTCATTAATACACTGTACTCAGTGGGTCTTTTCATCCTGTAAATACAAATCTACTTGTCTTATGAAACTTTTTAAAAAATATATTTCTTTGTTGCTTTTCCCCCCAGTGTTTTCTAGATTTTCTTTCTCGAATCTTCTATCAAATATTTTAGTCCATTGTATCCTACTTTCAGCAACACCTGTGGCCTTCAGTTTCTGAGCCCTTCCATGGTTATTGGGGCAAATCAGTTTACTTCTTATTGGGCTTTCCTTTACTAGGTGCTTTGGTTAGATTTTCTTGATATTGCCAAGTCTATACTATTCCCCATCTTCTTAATATTGTATTGTAATTCAGGATTGCCATTGCTTCTTAGTTTCATCAAAGATGGAGTTTCTGTTTCTCATCCTCTGTATATTTTGAGAGGAGAACAAAATTTAGAGGTATTCCATATTGAAAAAGAAACTTATGTCCATTATTTTTATTTCTAGTTATTGTTATCTACATCAGTTATGATTATATGCTTTATATTCTGAGTTTACAAAAATGTTCTAAAACAAAATGATTAGATCTACAAACAGATAAGTGCTTTTTTGAATAAGCGTGACATTGCTTGCATGTAGCAATCTCTGGACTTACAAGAAATTCTGTATTTTTATCAAATTCTGAGATACTACTACTGTAAAAAGCACCAGTTTGTTATACAGCACTAAGAAAGAAGAGTAGTCATTTAGACATTACACAATGTTTTTTATCCTAGACTTTAAAAACATTATAAAATATTTATTGTGGTGAAAACCATATATCATAAAATTTACTATTTCAACCAGTTCAGTAGTGTTAAGTATACTTACGTTGTTTTGAAATGGATCTCCAGAATTTTTTAATCTTCACTTAGACTTCTAATGTTATATTTATTGAAAGAATGCTTTTAAGCTTATTTGGGCATACATATATTTTGATATATATATAAATACACACACACACACACATATATACACACAAACATATATATTTATGTTTTGTAGAGACTGGCTCTCACTATGTTGCCCAGGCTGGTCTCCTATCCTCAAGCGATCCTTTTGCCTTCGCCTTCCAAAGTGCAGGGTTTATAGACGTGAGCCACTATGCTGTGTTGGGCACAGTTTTTAATTGTATATTACACTGCTTTGTTCTCTTGCCTTTCTTTGAACATAATAATTTTTTGTTCAGGGCTAAATCATAGTATAATCTTTTGAAGACATTTAAACAGCAAAATTACTTAGAACGTGTTTGATATTAGCAATGCACAGACCAATTCATATTTAAGTGATTATTAAGATGAACAGCATGACTAATTTGCATACATTTGCACATGTACAGGCAATGACAACTATGTCACAACTGTTGCCTGTGCTATAGAGATGTAAAAATGTCATCACTTTTAAAGTGTTTCCCTATTTCAAAGACATTAAAATGTAAAAAAATGTGAGTCATAAGAATTTTATATTTTTAGTAGAGATGGGGTTTCACCATGTTGGCCAGGCTGGTCTCAAACTCCTGACCTCAGGTGATCTGCCTGCCTCAGCCTCCCAAAGTGCTAGGGATTACAGGCGTGAGCCACCGCACCTGGCCTGTGGAGTAATTTTTGTTAAAATCTAACAAAACATAGATGACTGCTTTCTTTGTCATTTAAAGATGTTTTGATCTTTGAAATATGACAGGAAACGAAACATGCATAATTATAAAGGAAGAAATAGAATTAAAATAACCAATTAAAACTTGAAAGTTTAGAAGGGATTTTAGAAAGGACCTGAAGACAAGATAAACTTGAAAAATTAGGCCAGGCGTGGTGGCTCACACCTGTAATCCCAGCACTTTGGGGGGCTGAGGTGGGCAGATCATTTGAGGTCAGGAGTTCGAGACCAGCCAGGCCAACATGGTAAAACCCCATCTCTACCAAAAATACAAAAATTAGCTGGGCGTGGTGGCATGTGCCTGTAATCCCAGCTACTTGGGAGACTGAGGCAGGAGAATCGCTTGAACCTGGGAGGTGGAGGTTGCTGTGAGCTAAGATCATGCCACTGCACTCTAGCCTGGGTGACAGAGCGAGTGTCTGTCTCAAAGAAAAAAAAAAAAAACCAAACCGAAAACAAAAAACTTAAAAAATTAATAGCTTTCCTAACCAATTAGAAAATATAGTAGAAAAAGAGTCCCAACAGTAGTAACAAATGATATTTGTTAGAAATGTGCAGGACATGTGTAAAACAGACTATGAAATTTACTGTTGAATATAAAATTTGTGAATAAATAAGAATTCAAAAGTACCTATTGAATACCTTCTGTGGGTCAGAAGACTTGTAAGACTTGGGTATAGATTGATGGACAAACCAGATATGACCTTAAAGGTCAGCAGGGGGAGGGAGATGTTAATCAGGAGAATAAACAAACAAACAAATAAATTGAGATAATTGCTATGTAGGAAATCTGTGAAAGTACTCTCAAATTATAAGGGAATCTACTTTAGAATGGGTGATTAGGCTGGGGACGGTGGCTCACACCTGTAATCTTAGCACTAAGGGAGGCCAAAGCGGGAGGATTGCTTGAGCCCAGGAGTTCAAGTGAGAACAGCCTGGGCAACAGGGAATCCCCATCTCTAAAAATTAGCCAGGTGTGGTGTCACACAACTGTAGTGCCAGCTACTCAGGAGGCGGGGGTGGGACGATCAATTGATCCTGGGAGGTTAAGGCTGTAGTGAGCTGTGAGCATTCCAGCCTGAGCAACAGAGCAAGACCTGTCTTAAAATAAATAGATAAATAAATAATAAAATGGGTGATAAAGGAGGGCTTCTCCAGCATTGGCAACAGTGAGGGACTGAACATACCATGCAAAGAAACAGCATGTGTAAATTCCCTGAGATTGAAAAGTTGAGTGAGTTTGAGGAAGTGAAAGAAGGCCAAGGTATCTGGATTGTGGTGAATGAAACAGAAAATGGTAATTAATGAGGCTGGACAGGTCAGCTGGGCCAGACATAGACATAGAGTCTTCAGGCCAGGTTCAGAATAAAATCAAAACTTTGATTTTTATTGTGCGTGCCACTGGGAAATCACTGAAGGATGCAGCATGAAGTGACATGATTCAATTTATATTTTTAAAGTTTTTGCTGGCTGCTATATAGAAGATGGCTTGGATGGACACAGTGGTAGAAGCGGAGAAACCAGTTAAGAGAATGCTTTGATGATAGTGAATTGAAGTAGGGATTGTGGCAGTGAAAGTATAGTGGAGTTGGTGGGTTTAAGACAAATCTTGGAGGTAGAATCATGGATGTTACTGGATTAAATGTAAGGAGTAGGGTGAAAGAAAGGGAGAAGAAAAACAACTGGGCAGACTGAGGCAATTTTCATTGAGTAAAGCAAGATGGGGAAGTGTATTAGTTTGCTAGGGTTGCCATAACAAAATACCACAGGCTAGATGGCTTAAACAACAGAAATTAATTTTCTCACAGTCTGAAAGCTAGAAGTCCAAGATCAAGGTTCCAGCCAATTCTGTTTCTGATGAGCCCCTCTTCATGGCTTACAGATAGCTGCCTTCTCCCTATGTCCTTACATGTCCTTTTCTTGTGTGCATTTGAAGAGAGAGAATTCTCTGTTGTCTCTCTTTGTAAGGTAACTAATTCAGTTGGGTAAGGGCCCCACTCTTATGACCTCATTTAACCCTAGTTATCTCCTAAAGGCTGTGTCTTCAAATATAATCACATTGGAGGTTAAGGCTTCAACATATACATTTTTTGTGGGTACATAATTCTCTCCATAGCAGGGAGGAGCAGGTTTGGTGAATACATAAGAATAAATAAATAATACCTGTGAAACCATCAAATAGAGATGCTAAGTAAGAAGTTGAGTACATGAGTCTGATTTAGAGGAGATATTTGTGGAGTCATTTGCACAAAGAAAAGTTTAAAGCAGTAAGAGTGGATGGGTTCATTTAAAGAGAGCATAGAGAAGAGAATGGGTTATATTTGTATCAAGAATTGGGATAGAGAGAGTTATGTGAATTATTATTGAGACATCCAATAAAATGAGGACAGAAATATGTCCATTTCATTTAGCAACTTGGAGGTCAGTGGTGACCTTGGCAAGAGCAATTTCAATGAAATAGGGTAAGAATTAGTTTAGAGTCATTTAAAAAGTGAATGAGGCCTGGCGTGGTGGCTGACACCTGTAATCTTAGCACTTTGGGAGGCCGAGTCAGGTGGATCACCTGAGGTCAGAAGTTTGACACCAGCCTGGCCAACATGGTGAAACCCCGTCTCTACTAAAAGCACAAAAATTAGCCTGGGGTGGTGGCACACGCCTGTAGTCCCAGCTACTCAGGAGCCTGAGGCACGAGAATTGCTTGTACTTGGGAGTTAGAGGTTGCAGTGAGCTGAGATCACGCCACTGCACTCCAGCCTGGGCAACACAGTGAGACTTGATCTCAAAAAAAAAAAAAAAAAAAGAATGAATGAGAGGTAAGAAAATGGAGACCATGTATGTAGCAAACTCCTTAAAATGAGTGTATTTATTTAATCAGTCACTCATTTGACAAATATTTCTTGAGCAATGCCTGTTATGTTACACTGTTCTTGGTCTAGAGATAGGCTTGTGAATAAAGCAGGCATGATCTTTCCCTCATAGAACTTACATTCTAGTTAAAGGAGACAGAAAATAAATAAATATACAGCACCTCAGAGTGTCTTAAGTGCTCTGAAGAATGACACTGGTATGTAGGGGGATAGGGAGTGCACATGGGAGTGGAGTTCTATTTTAGGCAAGGTAAGCCTCTCTGATAAGATGACACTGGAGTCGAGATCTGAATGAAGAGAGGGAGAAAGGCATGCAGATATCTAGGGGAAAGGCATTCCAGGCACAGGGAATAGCAAGAGCAAAGGTTTTGGGGCAGAAGAATGATGGCTGGTGTGTAAAACAGCAAGGAGGCTGCCATGGAGTGAGTGAGTGAGGGGGAGGGTGATAGGCAGTGAGGTTAAACAGGAGGTAAGGGGCTGATGAGGTAGGGCTGCATAGGACTTTGTAAGAGCTGCCTCATACTTTAAGAGAGATTGGGAGCCATTGGAGGGTTTTGATCAGAGGAATGAAATAATCGAACTTACATTTTAGAAAGTACTCTGGCAAGTTTCTGGAGAGGGTAGTAGGGGAACAGAGCGGAATACTGTACTCAGTAAGTACTGCCTGTTACTGTTATTTTTATTAAAGAGGCAATACAGTCTAGACTGGCTAGATTTGAACTCCCTTATAAGCTTGATGAATTAAGCAAATTTAAGTGCTTAACTGCTCTTTTTCTCACTTCTCCCAGTTGTAAAATAAGGAAAATAAGAGTACCCACCTCATATGGTTGTGACAAGGATTAAACAAGTTAAAATATATAGTGTTGGCATATAGTAAGAACTCAGAAATATAATAAAACTATTTTTATAGTGATGATTGTAATTTCCCATTTGTCTGTCTTCCACTGAACTGAACTCCTTGAGTCCAGGGATCATGAGTATTTTTTCACATCTTTGTTTCCTAGCACAGCACCCAGAACCCAGTAGCCAATCAAGAAAATGTTGTAAAATATATATATAAGCTTATAAACTTTGAATCTTTATTGTCTTTTTTTTTTTTTTTTTTGAGAAGGAGTCTTGCTCTGTTGCCTAGGCTGGAGTGTAATGGCGTGATCTCGGCTCACTGCAACCTCGCCTCCCAGGTTCAAGTGGTTCCCCTGTCTCAGCCTCATGAGTAACTGGGATTACAGGCACATGCCACCATGTCCGGCTAATTTTTTGTATTTTAGTAGAGATGGGGTTTCACTGTGTTGCCCATCCTGGTCTCGAACTCCTGACCTCAGGTGATCCACCCGCCTCAGCCTCCCAAAGTGCTGGGATTACAGGAGTGAGCCACTGCGCCTGGCTCTTGTCATTTATTAAGGAAAATATACAGTCACTAACATAATCATTTTAACAAGTTCAAATCATTTACAAGAGTATGAAGTTATAAGTAAAAGAGCTTTTCCCCCAATTCCACTCCCATCAAAAGCCACTCTAACAATTTGGTATGTATTCTTCCAAATTTTATTCTTTTATTCTGTGCTTATACAAATATATATATTGTGTATATATTTGATCATCATATTAGATTTTAAGATGATTAATTTCTGGAAGAAGCAGCAGCAAAATTAAATGCTGTTCTAACAAGAATAACATATGAACTGTATAGCTGGCATGTATTTAACAAGTTCACTTCATTTGGGAGCAATGTCTTGAAGTTTAGATCAACTATGGACTTGAGGACATAAGAGAAAACTGTTCAGTCCTTGAGTTTGCAGGGATTTAGACCTTCACAGCTGTAAACATGAGGTCTAATTTGGCCTGAGCCCCTTAGAATGGCAGTTGATCTTCAGGACCAAAGCCTAATAACCCAGACCAGTCCAAATCAAAATCTGACCCACTTCAAGTAAATCTGAAAGATTTTATGCTCTGTATTTTACTGTTATTCTTGTTGATTTTAGTAAGTTTATTCTGTCCTTTTTGGAAGAAGTTTTATAGTTGTTGCCCCCACCATAGCTCTACATAATGTGCTTTAAATCATTATTTTTATAATATAGATTACTAGAATTCATTCAAACTAAAGAAAAAAATCAGAAGATTTTGGTCTGTAGTTTTGATTCTTCTTTCTGTATAGGTGACATCACCAGAAGAAAACATCTCTACATTGAGCCCTGTTTCTACCTTTTCTTTGAACTCAAGAGATGAAGACTTCATGGTAGAATTCTCTGAGACGTCCCTGAAAGCAAGAACTTTACCTGATGATCTTCATTTTCTCAACTTGGAGGGTAGTCGTTACCACATTGCTCTAATATCTGTCTATTCATTTAAGATGAAGTTTTTTATTTGAGAGATTATTACACTAAATATATCTTAGAACCAGATTCAGTGTCATATCCCTTGAAGCCTTTCCATAACCTTTCTTCCTTTGAACTTTTTCTATCATAGATAGCTATTCCAGGTACAATATTCCCTTCTAGCTATCTAGTTCCTTCTTGTTTCTCCTCCCAACTTTGTCAACACAGACCCCTGAAAGTATCTTCTACCATTGTCAGTTCTTCTCACAGCTGTAACTCCAGCATCTGACCCCTTTACAGCCCTTTCCTGTTCCAGAGGAATGACTCATTGCAAGTGTCTCATCAACACCATTGGTTGACCTTAGCATAACCTTTTAGTGTCTCTTTTTGCTTTGGGATCCTGAACTCTTCAACTGCTGCTACCACCCTTGCATTCCTAGGACTCTAGGTTTTCATATATTTTGGCCCTTCACTATGAGTCAGCTTCTGCTTCTTGATGAATATAATACTATTCTCTAGGATCCCTTTCACTAAAATTTCTTTTTTTCTCTTTTCTTATAATCTCATCAATATATCTTCCCCTGATTCTGAATTTATGTTGGGTGAGGGGTGAGTTGTAGATAGTTTTTTGATTTTGGATGGATGATAACAAAAAATTCTGTAATGTGAATTGGTAGTTGGGTTAGAAAAGGTTTTATGGGTGTGGTTGGTAGAAGGCAACAAGGTAGAGAAGAATCAAATACACCGGAGTGGGTATTCAAGAAAAAGTGATATGGTAGTGAACAGTAGATGATTTTCACAGTTATACCATGAATCTTTTACTTTAATGGACTTTTAACTTTTCTGTCAGTGTTACTTGATCGACTTGTTAGAATTACAGCATAGCACTTTATAAAAGAATATTCATTGGCTCACCTACTGCTCTGCTACTTTCCAGATGATCTCCAGAGTATATTTCCAACAAGATAGAAACTCTGTCAGGAAGGCACATTATTATAAAATAGGAATCCATAGTATTGTCAGATAAAAACTATAAGCTTGCATAATTCTGATGCAGTATTATTCATTTGTTTATATATTCAACAAATAGTTACTGCTTCTTAGATTTTTAGGAATATATCACTAAAGCTGCTGACACACAGAAGGAATCATTAAACTCTTTCAGACAGAATTTGCCATGAGTTTACCAGAATTATACTCTTATCAAACACCATTAGATCAAAATAAAGCTAAAATCTTTTTTTACTCTGAAGGGTAACATGATAATTCATGAGTGTAAAAATATATAAAGGAAGTTACAATCACATAGTCATATAAATGAACCATGAGCTTCCGTCTCTGGGAAAGAATGTAAAGTAGATATAAAAAACTAGTCTAGGTTCTTATCCTGACTCTGCCACTTAGTAGTTATGCTACTGCTAAGCCTTTGTAATCTCATTTGTAAAATGAGAATGATGCATTTTTGTTGTTGTTGTTAGCTTTAAAGTGCTTTGAAAATGTTAAGTGCTATATAAACATAATTTAGTAATTAGGAAAAAAAAAGGAGGAGAAGAAAAAGAGGGACTTCATCAACCCTAAGAATGTTTCAGTATATATGAATTAAGCTTTGAAATCTTTATTTTTTGAGGTTAAAACCATTAATTTTTTTTTAAGGAAATAAAATAATGTGATTTTTTTTTTCAGAGCAAGTTGCTACATTTTGCTTTTGTATACCCACTGTTTTCTAGAGCCTAGGTGATAACTAGTAGAACATTTTTATTTAATCAGCATTCTGTTTTCTTTCAGGGATGAAAAAATCCCGTTCTCTGGAGAATGAGAACCTTCAAAGGCTTTCATTATTAAGTAGAACCCAGGTTCCACTTATTACTTTGCCACGTACTGATGGGCCACCTGACTTAGACTCTCATTCGTATATGATCAACTCTAACACATACGAGTCTTCTGGCTCCCCCATGCTCAATTTGTGTGAAAAGTCAGCAGTTCTTTCGTTTAGCATTGAGCCTGAGGACCAAAATGAAACCTTTTTCTCTGAAGAATCTAGGGAAGTGAATCCAGGGGATGTTTCACTTAATAATATATCTACTCAGAGCAAGTGGCTGAAATATCAAAACACATCCCAATGCAACGTGGCTACTCCAAACAGAGTTGATAAGAGAATAACTGATGGCTTCTTTGCTGAGGCTGTTTCTGGGATGCATTTTAGAGACACAAGTGAAAGACAGAGTGATGCTGTCAATGAAAGCTCTTTAGACTCTGTGCATTTGCAAATGATAAAAGGCATGCTCTATCAACAGCGGCAGGATTTTAGCAGTCAAGATTCGGTTTCCAGAAAGAAAGTACTTTCTCTGAATTTAAAGCAGACTTCTAAGACAGAGGAAATTAAAAATGTATTAGGAGGGTCTACCTGCTACAACTACAGTGTAAAGGATTTACAGGTGAGGAAATGTACCGGTCTTGTGGTGCATTTTTCCAATAGTTATTGTCTGAATTTCAACAAAAGAATTACCAAAATATACTGCATAGGAGCAATTTGGACAGATGGCTTTTTTTGATCCTAACTCTGAGCTACAGTTACATCATCCTTTACTTAAAATCTCTCGTAATAGTAGTGAACATTGAATGAAATGATTTATTTGAAAGTATCTGGTGCAGTGTCTGGTAAATTATCAGTACTTAATAAGTGATAGCTCCTACTTTTGTTTCCATCACTACTACCATTACAATTATTGTTTTTACTTTTGACTGTCAATTGTGTTTGCTGATTAAGTCATTAGGGTAAAGGTGCATCTTATTTCACGTTAATTGTGAATAATCCTTATTATAGTCATAACCAGAAATAAAGATACGTAATGATCCATTCACATCAGTTAACTTTTTCCTAGCAAAAAATATATAAAAACTTACTAAGGGGCAGATAAGAAAAGTTACTCTTATATAGGGTTAAAATTGCCATTCGTAGCTATTCTTGCTATATTTGGTTTCTCATTTAAAATTTGAAAGTAATTTTCAAGGATCCTAGAAATCAAAAGAAAAATTAATATTTTTAAAAAATGTCTATGAAAAATAATTTACTCTTTAGTAAACAGTATTTTTCTGGAGTTGCTATGATAACTTGAATTATTCCATTGCAGGAGATAAGTGGCTCTGAGCTGTGCTTTCCAAGTGGGCAGAAAATAAAATCTGCTTATCTTCCCCAAAGGCAAATTCACATACCAGCTGTTTTTCAGTCTCCTGCTCATTATAAGCAGACTTTCACATCTTGCCTCATAGGTATGGCTGTTGTGTTTTTATTGTATCATGATTGCTGCTTCATGTAAGTAGTAAAATTGTGAGAATTTAATACATTATATTGTGAATTTTCATACTAAATACCTTATTTTTCATATGTTCTAGTTTTTGACAGTAACTTTTATTCTAATTTCAGATCAAAACTGAGTTTTAAAAGTGGGAAATTACAATCTTCTTTTTTTTTTTTGAGACAGGATCTCACTATGTTGCCCAGGCTGGAGTGCAGTGGAGCAGTCTTGGCTTACTGTAACCTTGCCTTCCAGGTTCAAGTGATCCTCCCACTTCAGCCTCCCAAGTAGCTGGAACCACAGGTGCACACCACCACACCCAGCTAATTTTTGTATTTTTAGCAGAAATGAGGTCTCACCATATGGCTCAGGCTGGTCTTCAACCCCTAGGGGGCTCAAGCAATCTACTCGCCTTGGCCTCCCAAAGTGCGTTGATTACAGGCATGAGCCACCACACTTGGCCAGTATTATCTTTTGAAAGTTAAGAGTTTTTCTTCCTTTTTTTTTTTTTTTTAACTAGAAGTGTTACAAATGACCTGTTAAATTTAGCAGAAAATAACTTTTAAAAACGGATATTCCTATTATATGACTCTGTTTAAAGGCTATTCAAATTTAGCTACAAACAGCACATATGTGATACAAACAAAATTATTTTGTATTTAATTTTCTGCTCTCTTTTTTTTTTTTTTGTAGAACATCTAAATATATTGCTGTTTGGGTTAGCACAAAACCTGCAGAAAGCTCTTTCAAAAGTTGACATATCATTTTATACATCATTGAAGGGAGAGAAACTGAAAAACGCAGAAAATAATGTACCATCCTGCCATCATAGTCAACCTGCAAAACTTGTCATGGTTAAAAAGGAAGGTCCAAATAAGGTATTCTTGCTTCCCCTCCCCCTACCATACCAAATACTTGTCTTATAAAGGGTTTAGATACCTATTACTTCATGATAAGCTTAAAGAGTGAGTCTTGATTAAGAGCTTTCTATTTGAGGTGTTGGTACCTAACATACATTAAATTCTCAAAGTTTTATTGAAAGAATGATTTGTGCTCTAGGATACAAAAATATGAGTTAAGATTAACCTTCAAGTTGCTTAGGAACTTTTTGTATAGTATTTTTATTTATTTTTATTATTACTATTTTTTTAGACACAGGGTCTCACTGTTGCCCAGGATGGAGTGCAGTAGCATGATCATAGCTCACTGCAGCCTTGAACTTCCGGGCTCAAGCCATCCTCCCGCCTTGGCCTCCCAAAGTGCTAGGATTACAGGCATAAGCCACTGTGCCCAGCTGAAAATTTTACATACTTCTGTAATTGATAAAATAGGAGGAATATGCTCAAGTTACAGTGAGATCACTGAGAAGGGGGATATGTTCCAACCTGAGAGCTTAGAGAATTCAGAAATGAGCCTGAAAGAAATGAAGGTTGAAACTAGTCTACCATGTAATCCCCAGTACAAGTAACAGATAAGGCCAGAGGAATAGAAAAGTATGCTGGCTTAATTTACATTGTTAATAATATATTATGGAGGAAGTCAGGTTAGTAAAATGTATGTTGATTGATGACTTATACTCATTGTAGAACTGTGCTTTCATTCATAATACAGTTTGCTTCCACCATTTGCATATCCCACTTCATTGTTAGCTAAGTGTGTAAATTTGGATTTAAATTTAGGTGTCAAAAGCAAAAATTCATGAGTAGTGATATAACTGTGGACTAAAATATAGCCACTAAAAATCTTTGTTTTCTTTTTAAGATTATTTGATGACATAGTTGCATGCTCGTACTATGTTGTTGGGTACAAGGGCTAGGTTACAGAGTAGAAAATGTATCATCTGAGTTTTGTGTAAAAAAAATTTACATGTGTTTGTTCTTTTTGGGTTGTGGTGTGTGTGTACTTACGCGAATGAGAAAAAAGGATAGAAATAAATGGATAAGATATTCAGTGTTTCTGGACAGTTTTCAGGTTGTTTATAGTGAACATTTTAAATCAGAAAAACAAATTTTCAAATAAGCTTTTATTCTCAGAATAATGTAATCTTTTGATAAAGAGAAAGTAAATGGAAAAGTAGGTGGTTTTAAATTTTAAATTAATGATAAAGTTAAGTCATATAGTGACTAATTTACTGGAGTACAGTAATGCCAAGCAGTCTTCATAGAAGCCTTGACAAACACAAAAATAATCGAAAAATAAAAGCATTTTTTTCACTAAATGTTGATCTTTTTTCTTTCCCCTTAGGGTCGTCTCTTTTATACATGTGATGGACCCAAAGCTGATCGATGTAAATTCTTTAAATGGCTTGAGGACGTGACTCCAGGATATTCAACACAGGAAGGAGCTCGACCTGGCATGGTTTTAAGTGATATTAAGAGTATTGGCTTATATTTAAGAAGTCAAAAGATACCACTTTATGAGGAATGCCAGCTTTTGGTGAGGTATGTTTTATAGTACCAAATAATTGCCTGTGATTATATAAGAGAACAACAGCCTTCACAGAACTATCATCAGTTTTAAAAGAGATTAAGATAGGAAAACTATTTAAAAGATGGAATACCTCAGTTTCTAAACCTGCAAAATGGGAATAAGTCTTTTTTTTTTTAATTATATAGTTACAAGCTCTTGCTCTGTTGCCCAGGCTGGAGTGCAGTGGTGTGATCCTTAGCTCACTGCAACCTTCAACTCCTGGGCTGAAGCTCTCCACCCACCTCAGCCTCCTGAGTAGCTAGGACTTCAGGCACATGCCACCATGCCCAGCTAATTTGAAATTTTTGTAGAGTTGGGGTCTTGCTATGTTGCCCAGGCTAGTTTCAAACTCCTGGACTCAAATGATCCTCCCATCTCACCCTCCCAAAGTGCTGGAATTAGAGGTGTGAGCTATCATGCTCGGCCAGGGAATAAGTCTTTAAAGTTATTTCGGCTCCCTCTAAACATCAAACAATGTCAGCAATATCAGGATAACTAGCAGGGTGCTATTTTTCTAACTTATTTTGTATATAGTCGGGGCTATTTTCCACAATCCTAAGGGAAACCCTATCCGACAAACTATAGGAATAATTTTTAGCAGTGTGGCATAATAAATAAGTGATCATTTGCATGTCTGAACTACATAGCTTATAGGGTAATAGAATGCTACTTTTTGGAAGTATGTCTTATAAAAGTTTAGATTATTCAAAATAAATATAATGACTATTTGCATGGTGATTTAGTAGTAAGATTTTTATTCGGAGCTGATATATGCCAGGCCCTCTTCTAACTAGGCACTTCGCATGAATTATTTTATGCAATTATTATAATAGCCCGTAAGATGGAGATATCGGAATAAGTTATTCCCGTTTTATAGTTTAGAAAATGAGGTTCCGCAAAAAAATAAAAATAGAACTATCATATGATCCAGCAATCCCATTCTTGGGTATGTATCCAAAAGAAAGGAAATAAGTATATCAAAGAGATACCTGCACTTTCATGTTTATTTCAGCAGTATTCACAATAGCCAAGATATGGAATCAACCTAAGTGTCCATCAATGGATGAATGGATAAAGAAAATGTGGTATGTAAACACACACACACAATGGGATCTTACTCAGCCATAAAAAAGAATGAAATCTTGTCATTTGCAGCAACTGGAGGTCATTATGTTAAGTGAAATAAACCAAAGGCCAGGCATGATCTCACGCCTGTAATCCCAGAACTTTGGGAGGCTAAGGTGGGTGAATCACTTGAACACAGGAGTACCAGACCAGCCTGGGCAACATGATGAAACGTCGTCTCATGAAACCTCGTCTCTACAAAAATTAGCCAGGTGTGGTGGCCTGCACCTGTAGTCCCAGCTACTTGGGAGGCTGAGACGGGAGGATGGCTTGAGCCCAAGGAGGTGGAGGTTGCAGTGAGCCAAGGTCATGCCACTGCACTTCCAGCCTGGGCAACAAAGCCAGACTCTGTCTCAAAAAAAAAGGAAAAAGCCAGATATAGAAAGACAAATATTGCATGTTCTTACTCATGTGTGGAGCTAAAAAAGCAGATCTCATGGAAGTAAGAGAATAGAATGATGGTTACCAGAGGCTGGGAAGAAAAGGGGGTGGGAAATGAAGAGAGGTTGGTTAAAGTGTTAAAAAAAAAAAAAAAAGGAATACAGTAGGGAAATTATAGTTAACAATAATTTATTGTATATATCAGAATAACTAGAAGAGAAGAATTGTAATGTTCCCAACACAAAGAAAAGATCAGTGTTTGAAGTGATGAATATCCCAGTTTCCCTGATTTGATCTGATCATTACACAATGTGTAAAGGTATCAGGATATCACATGTACTCCCAAAATATGTGTAACTATTATATACCAATAAACAAAATTAAATTTAAAAATTTTAAAAAGCACACGAGGTGTTCTATCTTTTAGATACTTTTCTATCTCAGTCTCTTCTAAAACTGATGACAGTTCTGTGACAGTTGTTATTTTCTTACTTTGATACAGTATATTTATATTTTGTATACATGTATGAAACTAGGTAAACATATGAAACCCTGGTTCTTTTCATACTGTATTTTAAAGATTTTCAAAAAACTTGCATCTTAATATTACAATTCATTTTTATTTTTTATTCCCTTTTCAGAAAAGGATTTGATTTTCAGAGAAAACAGTATGGCAAACTAAAGAAGTTTACTACTGTAAATCCTGAGTTTTATAATGAACCAAAAACCAAACTTTATCTTAAGCTAAGTCGGAAGGAAAGATCTTCAGCTTATAGCAAAAGTAAGTTGATCTGATCATACTGGCGATTCAGTCTAGCCTTATTATCTCCATTACATACAGCTGTATAAATTGTTTATATTAAAGAATTTTATATTAAATTTTAAAAGTATAATTTAATAGTAATATGTATTATAAACTAATTGTATAATAAATTAGACCACTTCTAAAAAACATATTTTTAAGATATTAGGGCTTTTTATTTTTATTTTTTTATTTATTTTTATTTTTATTTTTATTATACTTTAAGTTTTAGGGTACATGTGCACAACGTGTAGGTTTGTTACATGTGTATACATGTGCCATGTTGGTGTGCTGCACCCATTAACTCATCATTTAACATTAGGTATATCTCCTAATGCTATCCCTCCCCCCTCCCCCCACCCCACAACAGGCCCCAGTGTGTGATGTTCCCCTTCCTGTGTCCATGTGTTCTCATTGTTCAGTTCCCACCTATGAGTGAGAACATGCGGTGTTTGGTTTTTTGTCCTTGCGATAGTTTGCTGAGAATGATGGTTTCCAGCTTCATCCATGTCCCTACAGAGGACATGAACTCATCCTTTTTTATGGCTGCATAGTACTCCGTGGTGTATATGTGCCACATTTTCTTAATCCAGTCTATCACTGATGGACATTTGGGTTGGTTCCAAGTTTTTGCTATTGTGAATAGTGCTGCAATAAACATACATGTGCATGTGTCTTTATAGCAGCATGTTTTATAATCCTTTGGGTATATACCCAGTAATGGGATGGCTGGGTCAAATGGTATTTCTAGTTCTAGATCCCTGAGGAAT
This sequence comes from Homo sapiens, assembly GCF_000001405.40. Lineage (NCBI taxonomy): Eukaryota > Metazoa > Chordata > Mammalia > Primates > Hominidae > Homo > Homo sapiens. The sequence goes on along the minus strand of NC_000004.12, from coordinate 112,580,871 downwards.
CACCACACTGACTTCCACAATGGTTGAACTAGTTTACAGTCCCACCAACAGTGTAAAAGTGTTCCTATTTCTCCACATCCTCTCCAGCACCTGTTGTTTCCTGACTTTTTAGTGATCGCCATTCTTACTGGTGTGAGATGGTATCTCATTGTGGTTTTGATTTGCAGTTCTCTGATGGCCAGTGATGATGAGCATTTTTTCATGTGTCTTTTGGCTGCATAAATGTCTTCTTTTGAGAAGTGTCTTTTCATATCCTTTGCCCACTTTTTGATGGGGTTGTTTGTTTTTTTCTTGTAAATTTGTTTGAGTTCATTGTAGATTCTAGATATTAGCCCTTTGTCAGATGAGTAGATTGCAAAAATTTTCTCCCATTCTGTAGGTTGCCTGTTCACTCTGATGGTAGTTTCTTTTGCTGTGCAGAAGCTCTTTAGTTTAATTAGATCCCATTTGTCAATTTTGTCTTTTGTTGCCATTGCTTTTCGTGTTTTAGACATGAAGTCCTTGCCCATGCCTATGTCCTGAATGGTATTGCCTAGGTTTTCTTCTAGGGTTTTTATGGTTTTAGGTCTAACATTTAAGTCTTTAATCCATTTTGAATTAATTTTTGTATAAGGTGTAAGGAAGGGATCCAGTTTCAGCTTTCTACATATGGCTAGCCAGTTTTCCCAGCAACATTTGTTAAATAGGGAATCCTTTCCCATTTGCTTGTTTTTGTCAGGTTTGTCAAAGATCAGATAGTTGTAGGTATGCGGCATTATTTCTGAGGGCTCTGTTCTGTTCCATTGGTCTATATCTCTGTTTTGGTACCAGTACCATGCTGTTTTGGTTACTGTAGTATAGTTTGTAGTATAGTTTGAAGTCAGGTAGCGTGATGCCTCCAGCTTTGTTCTTTTGGCTTAGGATCGACTTAGCAATGTGGGCTCTTTTTTGGTTCCATGTGAACTTCAAAGTAGTTTTTTCCAATTCTGTGAAGAAAGTCATTGGTAGCTTGATGGGGATGGCATTGAATCTGTAAATTACCTTGGGCAGTATGGCCGTTTTCACAATATTGATTCTTCCTACCCATGAGCTTGGAATGTTCTTCCATTTGTTTGTATCCTCTTTTATTTCATTGAGCAGTGGTTTGTAGTTCTCCTTGAAGAGGTCCTTCACGTCCCTTGTAAGTTGGATTCCTAGGTATTTTATTCTCTTTGAAGCAATTGTGAATGGGAGTTCACTCATGATTTGGCTCTCTGTTTGTCTGTTATTGGTGTATAAGAATGCTTATGATTTTTGCACATTGATTTTGTATCCTGAGACTTTGCTGAAGTTGCTTATCAGCTTAAGGAGATTTTGGGCTGAGACGATGTGGTTTTCTAGATATACAATCATGTCATCTGCAAACAGGGACAATTTAACTTCCTCTTTTCCTAATTGAATACCCTTTATTTCCTTCTGTTGCCTGATTGCCCTGGCCAGAACTTCCAACACTATGTTGAATAGGAGTGGTGAGAGAGCGCATCCGTGTCTTGTGCCAGTTTTCAAAGGGAATGCTTCCAGTTTTTGCCCATTCAGTGTGATATTGGCTGTGGGTTTGTCATAGATAGCTCTTATTATTTTGAGATACATCCAATCAATACCTAACTTATTGAGAGTTTTTAGCATGAACGGTTGTTGAATTTTGTCAAAGGCCTTTTCTGCATCTATTGAGATAATCATGTGGTTTTTGTCGTTGGTTCTGTTTATATGCTGGATTATGTTTATTGATTTGCATATGTTGAACCAGCCTTGCATCCCAGGGATGAAGCCCACTTGATCATGGTGGATAAGCTTTATGATGTGCTGCTGGATTCAGTTTGCCAGTATTTTATTGAGGATTTTTGCATCGATGTTCATCAGGGATATTGGTCTAAAATTCTGTTTTTTTGTTGTGTCTCTGCCAGGCTTTGGTATCAGGGTGATTCTGGCCTCAGAAAATGAATTAGGGAGGATTCCCTCTTTTTCTATTGATTGGAATAGTTTCAGAAGGAATGGTACCAGTTCCTCCTTGTACCTCTGGTAGAATTCGGCTGTGAATCCATCTGGTCCTGGACTTTTTTTGGTTGGTAGGCTATTAATGATTGCCTCAATTTCAGAGCCTGTTATTGGTCTATTCAGAGATTCAACTTCTTCCTGGTTTAGTCTTGGGAGGATGTATGTGTCGAGGAATTTATCCATTTCTTCTAGATGTTCTAGTTTATTTGCGTAGAGGTGTTTATAGTATTCTTTGATGGTAGTTTGTATTTCTGTGGATCGGTGGTGATATCCCCTTTATCATTTTTTATTGTGTCTATTTGATTCTTCTCTCTTTTCTTCTTTATTAGTCTTGCTAGCGGTCTATCAATTTTGTTGATCTTTTCAAAAAACCAGCTCCTGGATTCATTGATTTTTTGAAGGGTTTTTTGTGTCTCTATTTCCTTCAGTTCTGCTCTGATCTTAGTTATTTCTTGCCTTCTGCTAGCTTTTGAATGTGTTTGCTCTTGCTTCTCTAGTTCTTTTAATTGTGATGTTAGGGTGTCAATTTTAGATCTTTCCTGCTTTCTCTTGTGGGCATTTAGTGCTATAAATTCCCCACTACACACTGCTTTGAATGTGTCCCAGAGATTCTGGTATGTTGTGTCTTTGTTCTCTTTGGTTTCAAAGAGCATCTTTATTTCTGCTTTGATTATGTACCCAGTAGTCATTCAGGAGCAGGTTGTTCAGTTTCCATGTAGTTGAGTGGTTTTGAGTGAGTTTCTTAATGCTGAGTTCTGGTTTGCACTGTGATCTGAGAGATAGTTTGTTATAATTTCTGTTCTTTCACATTTGCTGAGGAGTGTTTTACTTCCAACTATATGGTCAATTTTGGAATAGGTGTGGTGTGGTGCTGAAAAGAATGTATATTCTGTTGATTTGGGGTGGAGAGTTGTGTAGATATCTATTAGGTCCGCTTTGTGCAGAGCTGAGTTCAATTCCTGGATATCCTTGTTAACTTTCTGTCTCATTGATCTGTCTAATGTTGACAGTGGGGTGTTAAAGTCTCCCATTATTATTGTGTGGAAGTCTAAGTCTCTTTGTAGGTCTCTAAGGACTTGCTCTATGAATCCGGGTGCTCCTGTAATTGGGTGCATATACATTTAGGATAGTTAGCTCTTCTTGTTGAATTGATCCCTTTACCATTATGTAATGGCCTTCTTTGTCTCTTTTGATCTTTGTTGGTTTAAAGTCTGTTTTATCAGATACTAGGATTGCAACCCTTGCCTTTTTTTGTTTTCCATTTGCTTGGTAGATCTTCCTCCATCTCTTTATTTTGAGCCTATGTGTGTCTCTGCATGTGAGATGGGTTTCCTGAATACAGCACACTGATGGATCTTGAGTCTTTATCCAATTTGCCAGTCTGTGTCTTTTAATTGGAGCATTTAGCCCATTTACATTTAAGGTTAATATTGTTATGTGTGAATTTGATCCTGTCATTATGATGTTAGCTGGTTATTTTGCTCGTTAGTTGATGCAGTTTCTTCCTAGCGTCGACGGGCTTTACAATTTGGCATGTTTTTGCAGTGGCTGGTACCAGTTATTCCTTTCCATGTTTAGCGCTTCCTTCAGGAGCTCTTTTAGGGCAGGCCTGGTGGTGACAAAATCTCTCAGCATTTGCTTGTCTGTAAAGGATTTTATTTCTCCTTCACTTATGAAGCTTAGTTTGACTGGATATGAAATTCTGGGTTGAAAATTCTTTTCTTTAAGAATGTTGAATATTGGCCCCCACTTTCTTCTGGCTTGTACAGTTTCTGCTGAGAGATCAGCTGTTAGTCTAATGGGCTTCCCTTTGTGGGTAACTCGACCTTTCTCTTTGGCCGCCCTTAACATTTTTTCCTTCATTTCAACTTTGGTGAATCTGACGATTATGTGTGTTGGAGTTGCTGTTCTTGAGGAGTATGTTTGTGGCATTCTCTGTATTTCCTGAATTTGAATGTTGGCCTGCCTTGCTAGATTGGGGAAGTTTTCCTGGATAATATCCTGCAGAGTGTTTTCCAACTTGGTTCCATTCTCCCTGTCACTTTCAGGTACACCAATCAGACGTAGATTTGGTCTTTTCACATAGTCCCATATTTCTTGGAGGCTTGGTTCATTTCTTTTTATTCTTTTTTCCATAAACTTCTCTTCTTGCTTCATTTCATTCATTTGATCTTCCATCACTGATACCCTTTCTTCCAGTTGATCGAATCGGCTACTGAGTCTTGTGCATTTATCATGCAGTTCTCGTGCCATGGTTTTCAGCTCCATCAGGTCCTTTAAGGACTTCTGTGCGTTGGTTATTCTTGTTAGCCATTCGTCTAATTTTTTTTCAAGGTTTTTAACTTCTTTGCCATGGGTTCAAACTTCCTCCTTTAGCTGGGAGTAGTTTGATCGTCTGGAGCCTTCTTCTCTCGACTTGTCAAAGTCATTCTCTGTCCAGCTTTGTTCTGTTGCTGGTGAGGAGCTGCGTTCCTTTGGAGGAGGAGAGGCGCTCTGATTTTTAGAGTTTCCAGTTTTTCTGCTCTGTTTTTTCCCCATCTTTGTGGTTTTATCTACCATTGGTCTTTGATGATGGTGACGTACAGATGGGGTTTTGGTTTGGATGTCCTTTCTGTTTGTTAATTTTCCCTCTAACAGTCAGGACCCTCAGCTGCAGGTCTGTTGGAGTTTGCTGGAGGTCCACTCCAGACCCTGTTTGCCTGGGTATCAGCAGCGGAGGCTGCAGAACAGCGGATATTGGTGAACAGCAAATGTTGCTGCCTGATTGTTCCTCTGGAAGTTTTGTCTCAGAGGAGTACCCAGCCGTGTGAGTTGTCAGTCTGCCCCTACTGGGGGGTGCCTCCCAGTTAGGCTACTTGGGGGTCAGGGACCCACTTGAGGATGCAGTCTGTCCATTCTCAGATGTCCAGCTGCGTGCTGGGAGAACCACTACTCTCTTCAAAGCTGTCAGACAGGGACATTTAAGTCTGCAGAGGTGTCTGTTGCCTTTTGTTTGGCTAAGTCCTGCCCCCCAGAGGGGGAGTCTACAGAGGCAGGCAGTCCTCCATGAGCTGCGGTGGGCTCCACCCAGTTCGAGCTTCCTGCCACTTTGTTTACCTACTCAAGCCTCTGCAATGGCAGGCACCCCTTCCCCTGGCCTAGCTCCTGCCTTGCAGTTTGATCTGAGACTGCTCTGTTAGCAATGAGCGAGGCTCCGTGGGTGTAGGACCCTCTGATCCAGGCACGGGATATAATATCCTGGTGTGCTGTTTGCTAAGACTGTTGGAAAAGCGCAGTATTAGAGTGGGAGTGACCCAAATTTTCCAGGTGCCGTCTGTCACACCTTTCTTTGACTAGGAAAGAGAATTCCCTGACCCCTTGCACTTCCCGGGTGAGGCGATGCCTCACCCTGCTTCGGCTCATGCTCGGTGCACTGCACCCACTGTCCTGCACCCACTGTCCAACACTCCCCAGTGAGATGAACCCGGTATCTCAGTTGGAAATGCAGAAATCACCCGTCTTCTGCATTGCTCACGCTGGGAGCTGTAGACTGGAGCTGTTCTTATTTGGCCATCTTGGCTCTTCCCCCCAAATGTTAGGCCTTTTTAAAAACTTTATTAAAAGGGATACGAGAAACATTTAATTAGTTCTTGGAATCATATAAGTAAGTATATTGATTCAACTGTGCTCTGATTTAATGTCGAAAATAAACTGAAAATACGTAATAATAAGTTTGTTGATGCTTCTTTTATTGTCTATGTAATTTGGCAACATTGAACCCCAAATTTTGTATATTTGGAAATAAAATTCTTTAAACATTGTTTTTTTTTTGTTTGCTTGTTTTTTTTTTTCCTGAGACAGAGTCTCACTCTGTTGCTGAAGCTGGAGTGCAGTAGCGTGATCTAGGTTCACTGCAGTCTCTGCCTCCTGGGTTCAAGTGATTATTCTGCCTCAGTCTCCCGAGTAGGTGGGATTACAGATGCGCGCTACCACATCCAGCTAATTTTTGTATTTTTAGTAGAGACAGGGTTTCACCATGTTGGCCAGCCTGGTCTTGAACTCCTGGCCTCAGGTGATCCACCCACCTTGGCCTCCCATGGGATTACAGACATGAGCCACCATGCCCGGCCAGCATTGAGTGTTTTTAAAGGACCTTAGGTACACTAAGTTGGATTAATCATTATTTGAGATTTTGTGACCTACTCTTAGTCATTGGTCCTCACATAGCTCACCTTCATTTAGTTATTTAATTAGTAACTTACTTAAAATAATACAATAAGCATCTGTGAGCCCACAAACCAAATCAAAATCTAGTACCTTTATACCAACCTACATTTAAGTTAACCCCATTACCTCATCTTGTCTCTCCAAACCCAAGGTAATTATCATTTTGATCCTTGCACTCACCAGCATTTTTCTTTCTTCTGTGTATAGATTTATGTAAATGAATTCCTAAAGAGCTATATAAAATTTTTAGTTTTTTTAGACCTTACTAAAATGATGTCATTCTGTATATAATCTTTTGGAATTTATCTTTTTTTGGTTAGTATGTTGCTACAATTTATCCATGTTGTTCTCAAATCTAGAGTCTAGATTATTTGTTTTGACTGTTGTATAATATTTTGTAAACATGCTATAGTTTATTGTTTTCATTGTTGTTTGGGTTTCTAAGTTTTACCATTGTGAACAGGGTGTTATGAATATTATTCTTGTACTGTCTTTTAGACATGTATGGGTTTCTTTTGAATATTACTCTAGGAATGAAAATGCTGCCTTACAGCATATGAACATACTTCACACATCTTTAGATTGTGATGCCAAACTGATTTCCAAAGTGGCTCTATCAGTTTGTACTCATTCTAAGTATAAGAGATCTTATGGATCAACCCATTCAAATGAGTATAAGATGATTGCATTGTGGTTTTAGCTCACACTTCTCTGCTCACCACTGATGTTAAAATACTCTTCATGTGTTTTTTAGTTACATGTGTTTCTTCTTAGCCATTTTACTATTGGGTTCTTTATAACCTTCTTTTATTTATAGAAGTTCTTTATGTATTCTTCATATTCTTTGTTGATTATGTATATTATAAATATCTGCTCATCAGATCATGTCTTTTCACTTACTTTAAGGTGTCTTTAGATAAATAAAAATTCTTAATTTTAGAATAGTCATATTTATTAGTAATCTTTTCTTTTTGACAGTGCTTTTTGCATCTTACCTTAAAAATCTTTTCCTATGCTGAGTTCTAAAATTACTCACCTATATTTTCTACTAAATGTTTTACGGTTTGGTTTTTGACATTTAAATCTTTATTATTAATTTCCATAATTTTTTGAGGGAACAGGTGGTGTTTGGTTACGTGAATAAGCTCTTTAGTAGTGATTTCTGAGATTTTGCTACACCTATCACCTGATCAGTATACACCGTATCAAATTTGTAGTCTTTTTATCCTTCACTGCCCCCCTTACCCTTTCCCCTGAGTCCCCAAAGTCCATTGTATTATTATTATGCCTTTGTACCCTCATAACTTAGCTCCCACTTATGAGTAAGAACATACGATGTTTGATTTTTCCATTCCTGAGTTACTTCACTTAGAATAGTGGTCTCCAGTTCCATCCAGGTTGTTGCAAATGCCATTATTCGTTTCTTTTTATGGCTGAATAGTATTCCATGGGTGTGTGTGTGTGTGTGTGTGTGTGTGTGTGTGTATCACAATTTCTTTATCCACTTGTTGATTGATAGGCATTTGGGCTGGTTCCATATTTTTGTAATTGGGAATTGTGCTGCTATAAACGTGTAAGTATCTTTTTTGTGTTTTCCTCTGAATAGATACCCAGTAGTGGGATTGTTGGATCAAATGGTAGTTCTACTTTTAGTTCTTTAAGGAATCTCCACACTGTTTTCCACTGGTTGTACTAGATTACATTTCCACTAGCAGTGTAAAAGTGTTCCCTTTCATCCCTGCCAACATCTATTAATTTTGATTTTTTGATTATGGCCATTCTTGCAGGATTAAGGCAGTATTGCCTTGTGGTTTTGATTTGCATTTCCCTGATCATTAGGGATGTTGAGCATTTTTTCATGTTTGTTGGCCATTTGTGTATCTTCTTTTGAGAATTGTCTATTCATGTCCTTAGCCCACTTTTTGATGGGATCATTTGGTTTTTTTCTTGCTGATTTGTTTGAGTTCCTTGTAGATTCTGAGTGTTAATCGTTTGTCAGATGTATAGATTGTGAATATTTTCTCCCACTCTGTGGGTTGTCTGTTTACCCTGATGATTGTTAATTTTGCTGTGCAGAAGCTTTTTACTAATAGTTTAATTAAGTTCCACTTATTTAGCTTTGTTTTTATTGTATTTGCTTTTGGGTTTTTGGTCATGAAGTCTTAGCCTAAGCCAAAGTCAGAAGGGTTTTTCTGATGTTCTAGAATTTTTATGGTTTCAGGTCTTAGATTTAAATCCTCGATCCATGTTTAGTTGAATTTTGTATAAGGTGAGAGATGAGGATCCAATTTCATTCCTCCACATGTGGCTTGCTAGTTATCCCAGCACCATTTGTTGAATAGGGTGTTTTTTCTCCACTTTATGTTTTTGTTTGTTTTGTCAAAGATCAGTTGGCTCTAAGTATTTGGCTTTATTTCTGGGCTCTCTATTCTGTTCTATTGGTTTGTGTGCCTGTTTTTATACCAGTACCATGCTGTTTTGGTGGCTATGAGATTTAAATCTTCAGTCCACTTGAAGTTGATTCTTTTTTCTTTTGTATATGGTATGAAGTAGGGATCCAGTTTCATCTTTTTCTTTTTAATTACCAATTTTGCTAGAATAGTAACCATTTTTTATTGATTAGTCTCTCTTTTCCTCACTGATCTGAAATGCTACCTCTGTCATATAATCAGGTTTAAAGTAGCTGTGTGTGTTCTTGACTCCCTATTTTATACTGTAGGTTAATTTGTATATTGTTGTACCAGTTCCACACTGCCTTAATTACCATGGCTTCATAAATCCAAATATCAAATAGTGCAAGTTCCCCTCTCTGTTCTTAGATGTGACCTGGCTGTTCTTGGTCCTTTACTCTTTCATATATATTTTAGAATCATCTTATCAAGTTTCATGAAAAACTTGTTGGGATCTTAATTGGAATTGTACCTATAAAGTTGAGAAGGGATGACATCTTTAAAATACCAAGATTTAGGGCTGAGCATGGTGGCTCACGCCTGTAATCCCGACACTTTGGGAGGCCAAGACAGGAGGATAGCTTGAGCTCAGGAGTTTGGAGACCAGCCTGGGCAACATAGTGAGACCTTGTCTCAGAAAAAAAAAAAATTAAGATTTAATACCATGTACTTGCTGTATCTCTGTTTATTTAAAAATTGTTTGTAACATCTTATAATAAAGTTTTGCAAATTTCCCTGTAGAAGTTTTGAATATTTTTATCTTAAATTTATTCATATTCTCTGATACCATTGTATTGTTTGTGTTTTTATTCTTCTGACCAGTCTTGCCTGAGGTTTGTCTTATTTTGTTATTGTTTTCGAAGAACTGACTTGGCTTTATTGATCAGAAGATCAGCAATGTATTTTTGTTTTGTTTTTATTGTTGTTATTGGCTTCCTCTCTAATTTTTATGATTTCTTCTATTTTGTTTAGGATAGTATACTGTTCTTTTTACACATCTTAAGCTTGATACTTAGCTAATTTTGAGGCTTTTCTCTTCTCTAATATAATTATTAGGGCTGTAAGTTTTCCTTAAAGTACCACTCTTTTTTTTTTTTTTTGAAATGCAGTCTGGCTCTGTTGCCCAGGCTGAGTGCAGTGGCACAATCTTGGCTCACTGCAACCTCCACCTCCTGGGTTCAAGTGATTCTCCTGCCTCAGCTTCCCGAGTAGCTGGGACTACAGGCACCTACCACCACACCCAGCTAACTTTTTGTATTTTTAGTAGAGACAGGGTTTCACCATGGTGGCCAGGTTGGTCTTGAACTCCTCACCTCAAGTGATCTGCGTGCCTGGGCTCCCAAAGTGTTGAGTTTACAGATGTGAGCCTCCATGCCTGGCCTACCACTCTATTTTTGCTGAAGTATTTTTTTCATTATAATTCAGTTTGTTTTAAGTTTTCCATTATGATTTTTTTTAACCTGTGAGTCATTTAGCATGTGTTTTAATATTAAAAATGTAAGGAATTTCTAGTTGAACTTTTTGTTAACTTCTGACTTAAATATGTAATAGGTAGACATTATGATTTTTATAATATTATTCTTTAAAATTTATTAAATTTATGTATGTATGTATGTTTGAGACAGAGTCTTGCTCTGTTGCCCAGGATGGAGTGCAGTGGCATGATCTCAGCTCACTGCAACCTGTGTCTCCCAGGTTCAAGCCATTCTGCCTCAGCCTCCCAAGTAGCTGGGATTACAGGCACCCACCACCACACCCACTAAATTTTCTATTTTTAGTAGAGACAGGTTTTCACCATGTTGGCCAGGCTGGTCTCAAACTCCTAGCCTCAAGTGGTCTGCCCTCTTCAGCCTCCCAAAGTGCTAGGATTACAGGCGTGAGCCACCACGACTAGCCTACTAAGGTTTTTGTACACTTGATTGTAGCCAAAAGACTGAGAAGTGATATTATTAAGGTTTTTTTTTAATGGCATAGTACAAGAGAAATACATTTTCTCTAATTGTTGAATTCAAAACTCTTTAATGATCAGATCAAGCTTATTAATTGTCTTGTCCAGATCTTCTATATAGTCTTGCTAACTTTTTGTGGCAGTTATCTAAGTAATTAAGGGAGATGAGTTGCAAACTTCCTCTGTGGTGCACTCTCTGTCTGCTATTTATTACTTTTTGCATCTTATATATTAGGGCTATTTTATTGGGTACATATATGTTTTAAATTATTAACTTCAGGGTAAACTTACATCATCATGTAGAGATGATCCTTTCCATCTCTAATAATTTTTTCTTAAAAATCTATCTGTTAATGTAGATATGCTAAGTTTATTTTGACTAGTATTAGTTTCATAAGTCTTTTTTCATTTTTTTATCTTTCTTTCTTCATATTTTACAGGTGTTCCTTATAAACAGCATATGTCTCAATTTTAAAGACGTGACTTGTAAATAGAATAAGCCCGATAGTTGAATTTATTATAGTAATTGACACCTGGATGTGTTTCTTTAATCTTAAATTATTTTTGTTTATTCTAATTTTACTATGCTTTTTAAAATAATTTCTTACTTTTAAAAAATAAATTGATATTTAAATCTTATCCCTGCCCCCAATAAAACAGATACTTAGAAAGCACCCACATCCCTTGGTTCTTCCCCTGATCCCTTTCCTTACTCTTGCCCGCCCTGCCCCCAGTTGACAAAATCTAGACTAGTGCTACTCAAGGTAGAGTCTGTAGGCTGGTTCTGGTCCACAAACTTACTGGTTCCCAAAAAGAGCTGAGGAGCTGCTCCAGAATGTAAATCATCTATATCATTAGCATGCTGTTTAGTTTAGCTGTATTTTGTTTTATTTGTAGCAAGCTTTCTGAATGAAGGAAGCATTATGTTGATTTATTGGATTATATTCTAGCACAAGCTTCTTGTTACAGACCAATAACAAACTGTTTAGGACAGCCTACTTTGAGTAGTTCTAGTCTAAATCTTGAAACACTTGGTTAGTATAGATCTATTTTCTATCTTTCTTTGGACAATAATTTGGCTACATATAAAATTTTAGGTTCTAAGTTCTTTTCCTTTAATACTTTCAACCTACAAAAACAGCACTTTCAAATATTTTAATCCAACATTTAATATACTTAGTTATCATCTTGTATTCACTGTTTGAAAGTCTGATGGCACTGTGATTTTATTTTTTTTTCTGAGATGGAGTCTTGCTCTGTCGCCAGGCTGGAGTGCAGTGGCGTGATCTCAGCTCACTGCAACCTCCGCCTCCTGAATGATGAGGTGATTCTCCTTCCTCAGCCTCCTGATTAGCTGGGACTACAGGCGCACACCACCATGCACAGCTAATTTTTGTATTTTTAGTAGAGATAGGGTTTCACCATGTTGGCCAGGATGGTCTCGATCTCTTGACCTTGTAATCTGCCCGCCTTGGCCTCCCAAAGTGCTGGGATTACAGGCGTGAGCCACCACGCCTGGCTTTTTTTTTTTTTTTTTTTTTTTGAGACAGAGTTTCACTCTCGTCACCCGGGCTGGAATGCAGTGGTGCAATCTGGGCTCACTGCAACCTCCACCTCCCGGGTTCAAGCGGTTCTGCTGCCTCTGCCTCCAAGTAGCTGGGATTACAGGTGTCCACCACTATGCCTGGCTAGTTTTTTTTATTTGTAGTAGAGACACGGTTTCACCATGTTGGTCAGGCTGGTGTCGAACTCCTGACCTCAGGTGATCCACCCACCGCGGCCTCCCAAAGTGCTAGGATTACAAGCGTGAGCCACCACACCTGGCCGGCACTCTGAGTCTTATTTCTTTATGTGTTATGTGGTCTTTCTGGCTGGGAGTTTTAGAATTTTCTTGATTTCTTTGATAGTCTTATATTTCTCTATACAGTGTCTAACTGGGTTTTTCCTTGTTTCTCCTCTTGGGCACATTATGGGCCTTTTAAATCTAAAGTTCATCATCTTTTTTTTACTTCTGGGAAATGGATCTTCATTATTTCTTCAAATAAGCTTCCTATTTATCTCTTTATTCTTTCCCTCCTTTCTAGGTCTTTTATTATTTAAATATTAGCACTTCTGAATCTGTCTTCCAAATCTCTTAGTTTTTCCTTTATATTTCCTGAATTTTTGTCCTTTCTTCCTTCTGGGAAATATCATCAATATGATTATCTGAATTGGCTATTGATTCCTCAAATGTATTCATCCTGCTATTTATCAATTATATTTTTCCAACCTAATATTTCTGTTCATTTCTTTTTCCTGTTTTTTTTGTTTGTTTGTTTTTGTTTTTTAATTTTTGAGACAGGGTCTCACTCTGTCACCCAGGCTGGAGTAGAGCAATCACGGCTCACTGCAGCGTTGACCTCCTAGGCCCTAGTGATCCTCCCACCTCAGCGTTCTGACTAGCTGGGACTACAGGTTCAAGCCACTACACCCAGCTAATGTTTTTATTTTTTGTAGCCATGGGGTCTTGCTATGTTGCCCTGGCACATCTCGAACTCGTGGGCTTAAGTTATCCCCCTGACTCAGCCTCCTAAAGTGTTGGGATTATAGGTGTGAGCCATTGTGCCTGGCCTGTTTTCTTGTATGTATGTGCATATGTATTTATTTATTGAGATGAGGCCTCACTGTTTTGCCTAGGCTGGCCTCAAACTCTGGGGCTCAAGCAATTCTGTCATCTCAGCCTCCCAAGTAGCTAGGACTACAGTTGTGTGCCACTGCACTCGGCTGTCATTATTTTACATTGTTACCATCTTCCTTTACCTCTTTACATCTCTTTATCAGGCCAAATTTAAATTATTTGCCCATCAATTCTGGCTTTCCCTTTTCTATATGATTCTATAGTCCAGTTTTTGTTTTTTTTTTAAGTCTTTGTGTTCCTTGAATGTCTCAATATTTTGGCCTGTGAACTCATTTTTCCCTGGCGTTATGAGCTTTTCTTTCTGGCAGTATATGTTGGGGAAGGCCCATCCCAATCTGGTCAGCTCCAAGGAGCTCAGGGAGTTGAGGGTGTAAATGAGCTATGGGGTGGAGAGCCCCAGGCACCAGAAAACCACAACTACCTGCAGAACAATCCCTAAAGTGAAGTCTAAAACCTCTGGTTAAAAGGAAAAAGCAACATTAAGATGTATCATTTCTTAGACTGTAGAATTCTTTAGCCCTAGGAGTTTGGAGGTGAGGTGGAGACTGCCTGTGATCAGTGAGTTACCATCTGTTTTTCTCCACACTTTATGGCACAGAACTTGCATTGCTACCCTGATTTTTTTTTTTTTCCTCCAGAGGATTTCTGGACCAGAAGTATAAATTGCCTTATGGATGGGTAGGCCCTATTTGTCCCAGTACAATTGGGGATGGGGAAGAGGATGGGATGGGAAGTAAGAACAGAACCCCAAGAGCCTCCCCACCCTCTTTGATCCCCTCCTCCTCTACAGGCCTTCTGCCCTTGGCCAAAATCACTTCAGGGACACAAACCCCAGTACAAAACAGGCCCTCCAACTCGAGGTTTTCCATGGTTTTCTCCACTTCTCTCTCTGTTCCCCACAGAAAGGAAGCCAACAATCATACTAATTCAGCATCTTAGATGACACCAGAATCAGGAATCCCCTATATCTTTATTTTTTTAATTCAAAAGTGTTTTTGAGCATTGTTTTGCATGTTTTGAATTATGTTATTAATTCAGTAAGTAAAAAATTTATTTTTTATTTATTTATTTATTTTATTTTATTATTATTATACTTTAAGTTTTAGGGTACATGTGCACATTGTGCAGGTTAGTTACATATGTATACATGTGCCATGCTGGTGTGCTGCACCCATTAACTCATCATTTAGCATTAGGTATATCTCCTAAAGCTATCCCTCCCCCCTCCCCCCACCCCACAACAGTCCCCAGAGTGTGATGTTCCCCTTCCTGTGTCCATGTGTTCTCATTGTTCAATTCCCACCTATGAGTGAGAATACGTGGTGTTTGGTTTTTTGTTCTTGTGATAGTTTACTGAGAATGATGATTTCCAATTTCATCCATGTCCCTACAAAGGACATGAACTCATCATTTTTTATGGCTGCATAGTATTCCATGGTGTGCCACATTTTCTTAATCCAGTCTATTATTGTTGGACATTTGGGTTGGTTCCAAGTCTTTGCTATTGTGAATAGTGCCGTAATAAACATATGTGTGCATGTGTCTTTATAGCAGCATGATTTATAGTCCTTTGGGTGTATACCCAGTAATGGGATGGCTGGGTCAAATGGTATTTCTAGTTCTAGATCCCTGAGGAATCACCACACTGACTTCCACAGGGTTGAACTAGTTTACAGTCCCACCAACAGTGTAAAAGTGTTGCTATTTCTCCACATCCTCTCCAGCACCTGTTGTTTCCTGACTTTTTAATGACTGCCATTCTAACTGGTGTGAGATGGTATCTCATTGTGGTTTTGATTTGCATTTCTCTGATGGCCAGTGATGGTGAGCATTTTTTCATGTGTTTTTTGGCTGCATAAATGTCTTCTTTTGAGAAGCATCTGTTCATGTCCTTCGCCCACTTTTTGATGGGGTTGTTTGTTTTTTTCTTATAAATTTGTTGGAGTTCATCGTAGATTCTGGATATTAGCCCTTTGTCAGATGAGTAGGTTGTGAAAATTTTCTCCCATTTTGTAGGTTGCCTGTTCACTCTGATGGTAGTTTCTTTTGCTGTGCAGAAGCTCTTTTTTTGACCCCATGGAAAAAAAATACCTAACGTTCAGAACTACCAATAACAGGAAGAAGAGAATTTTTTTTTTTTTTTTTTTGAGAATGAAATGTTTCCCATCATAGTGGATTCTAAAGCACATTCTCAACGTATGTGGCATGCTAGCTGGATGTCTTTTGGCATAATTGTTACACGTTTGGCATGGATAGCACACAGGTTGGTGTCTTCAAAAAGGCCAACCAGATAGGCCTCACTTGCCTCCTGCAAAGCACCGATAGCTGCGCTCTGGAAGTGCAGATCTGTTTTAAAGTCCTGAGCAATTTCTCGCACCAGACGCTGGAAGGGAAGTTAGCGAATCAGAAGTTCAGTGGACTTCTGATAACATCTAATTTCACGGAGCGCCACAGTACCAGGCCTGTAACGATGAGGTTTCTTCACCCCTCCAGTAGAGGGCACACTCTTGCGAGCGGCTTTTGTAGCCAGTTGCTTCCTGGGTGGTTTACCACCGGTTGATTTGTGGGCAGTCTGCCTTGTACGAGCCATGGTACAGAGACCTCCTTACTTACCTCATTTCTCCTTCGGCTGGAGCTTGGTCAGCGACAGGCGGCGCTGGCGTTGGAGAGCGACGGCGGCGCGGTGGCGGCTGCGAACACAATTCAGTAAAAAGAATTTATAATGTGACCTTCGAAGGAAACTTTTGTGCAGGAACATTATGTATGTTTTTATTTTTTAAATGTATATCACATAGAAGACATTCATGAAGTGGTTGGATTTTTAGAAATTAAGCATTTGTGATCATTTTTTAAAAATTAAAAATCTCCAAGCCAGCATTTGGGGGAAAAAAAATTAAACAAGTAATACATAAATATATACAATGAAAAATGAAGGTATAAAGAAATATATACAGTTAAAAGTGAAAGTCTTACTTTAATACCTTTCATTTTCATTCCTTATAGGTTACCGTTGTGAAATGCATATGATTAAATAATTACTAGATATATTCAGTCTTAAGGTTCTCTTCAGTTTATTTTCTTCACTTCAATCTCTCATTCCTATTTGCAGCAGAGAAAATTTAAGATGAATCCAATTTGATAGATTTTGTCCAGTAAAATTCAGATGCATTTGGGTATTGAAATCTTAGTCGCTGCCCAGTTTAGTCTCTCTTTCAGGGCTTCCACACGTTTCTCATTTTTAAAAACCCTGTTCTTCTCTGTGCCTACTTTTAATATCACAAGATTCACATACTAATTACTAAGTAGTTACAAGAGAGGAGGAAGGTCAGCTTTCCTGAAAGAAGCTTGTTAGTGAAAATGGAATAGTATATTACTATTTTGTGATTATTTCTCAGCTTGCTAGAACTGCTAATATCCTTACTGATCTGATCTTTGGCACTATTCCAATTGCTGATGCCCTGGCAGTTGGTTTTCTCAGCCTGAACTGAGTCCAATATTACTTTTTTTTGTAGCTTGTTAAGTGGTTACTGTGGTCTAAATGTGTTCCCTGCCGTCCGTTCCCACTGCCAAATACATACTTTGAAATTTGATTGCCAGTGTATTAAGAGCTGGGGCCTTTGGGCAATGATTAAGTCATGTGGGCGCTGCATAACTTAATCCTGCATGGGATTAGTGGCCTTATAAGAGAGGTTAAAGGGAGTGCCTTGGCCCCTTTGCACCATCTGCAAAGTGAGAATGAGCCTTCACTGGTTATTCACTGGTGCTGTGCTGGCACCTTGATCTTGGGCTTTTTAGCTTCCAGAACTGCTATGAGAAATACATTTCTCATTTAAGATATTAATCATCTTAATAAATTACTCATTTAAGATATTTTGTTATGGCAGCCTGAACGGACTAATAAAATAGTCTTATGGGCTAGCCCATGTCCTGCCTTCTTAGGCCTTCTGTGGGTTTATGCAAAACCTAGGGATTTCCATTGTAGCAAACTCATCTTCCCATGTGATGTCTCTGCCCTCCTTCTTCCTCACCCTGTAATTCTGCCATCTCTTTAGTCTTTTTCTGTGTGATTCAAGTGGTACTGTATTAATTGCAGAATCTGATGCTGGTTCTTTTGTTCAGAGCACTCCCAACCTTTAGGTTGATAGTTGATGAATTATCTTTCCAGAACTTTACTTCTCATCTTGTGTATGTATATGTGTACTATAGATATATGTACACACATATGCAAATATATATAATTTCTAAAAATATAAAACCATACTGTATATGTCTGTGTAATATTTAAAAATGTTTGTCTTTTCAGATGATCTTTGGGTGGTTTCAAAAACCCTAGACTTTGAGCTGGATACTTTTATCGCATGTAGTGCTTTCTTTGGACCATCATCTATCAATGAGATAGAAATACTGCCTTTGAAAGGCTATTTCCCTTCTAATTGGCCCACTAACAGTGAGTATTACTATGCTCATTTTAGTTTATATTTAAAAAGAATGATAGACATAAGATGCACTGTTTGATTAAAGCCAACAAAAAGGACCCAACTCTAGTTTCGACTGTTGTGTACAGTGAGTTCCTGAAAATGTGTATGAAGTTGAATATATAGATATTTCTGTGAGGAAGAATGGTGTGTGGGGGATTGTTTTGTTCTAATTTTCTAATTAGATTATTCTGATTTTCTGTTTTCCATATATTTCTGTGAAGTAATTGAGGAAAAAATGCAAGAAAGTGTTTAAAAATTATACAAATACTACTCTGTGGCACAAGTGATATGTTGATTAAAGGAAACTGCTGGCTGTGAAGTTGTGCTACTAGGTACTAACTCAAAACAGGTGTTCTTGTTCATTTGCTGATATATGGAAGTCCAAATATGATTTAAATTATGCAGTTTATGCATACCCATTATAAAATGAATGAGCAGATAGCATAGTAATTTAATGAATATAAGTTTGGGATCTCTGTGTGTGTTTAAGGGTTTGTTTTATGTCATGTGCTTAATTCAGTAGCTGAACTCTGAGTTATGTGGGCATTTAACACAGAGTTTTTATGGTCCATTTTATTTACATCAAATGTTTATTTTCTGCATCCTCTGTACAGTGGTTGTCCATGCGTTATTGGTTTGTAATGCTAGCACAGAACTGACTACTTTGAAAAACATTCAGGACTACTTTAATCCAGCTACTCTACCTCTAACACAGTACCTGTTAACAACGTAAGTCATTTTTTACCTTTGAGTCATTGGTATTAAAAAATGGTAATCAGAAGTAAATATGAAAATTCAATAAAAGTACAGTATATAAATGTTGCCAATAAAATTGTAATTATTTTTCAGACTATGACATTATTCTCTGTCAGTGGTTAAAAAGAGAAAAGGGGCTGGGTGCAGTGGCTCATGCCTGTAATCCCAGCACTTTGGGAGGCCGAGGTGGGCAGATCACCAGAGGTCGGGAGTTCGAGACCAGCCTGACCAACATGGAGAAACCCTGTCTCTACTAAAAATACAAAATTAGCTGGGCATACTGGCGCATGCCTGTAATCACAGCTATTCGGGAGGCTGAGGCAGGAGAATTGCTTGAACCTGGGAGGCGGAGGTTGCGGTGAGCCGGGTGCCATTGCACCCCAGCCTGGGCAACAAGTGAAACTCTATCTCAAAAAAAAAAAAAAAAAAAAAGAGAAAAGGAATTATGCATTATTTTTCATCTGTTTATTAAGGTTTGAGCTAATAAATGTTACTGTACATTTTCACTTCATCAAGAGATAATTTAAGGATCATTTCAGTATTGATTTTATTTTTTATTATCTGTATTTTTATATTACAAATTATTTAACATTTAAAGGAATCATTTTACAGCTGGAATCCAGTGTGTATATTGCTACTGATTTTATTCTCGATATAGCCATATCTCATTTTGAATTTCTCAAGCACCATGTCCCTTTTTAAAAAATTGGAAGTGATATTATATTAAATGCATTAAAATTGATAGGAAAATCCAGTTTTCAATTTGGAATATTATTATCTACCTGTGATGTTTTATTTTTCTCACTACAATGAAGTCCTAGGTAAAAAAATAAATATCCTTTGATTTCATTATGTTATTTATCCAATTTGAAATGAATTTTCATGGAAATAGAAATAAGACCAATTCATGTGATGTAGTTTTACCTGAAATGAGGGCTAGATTAATTATCTAAGTTAGGTTTGTATAATAGAGCATGGGTTTTAAAGTCAGTCCGCCACTTATTTGTGGTGTGGTATTGGGGGAAAAAATTCAATATTCTTGTATCTGTACTTGGGATAATTAACTAACTATTTCCTAGTGTTGTTGTGAAGATTTCATCAAGTAATATGTAAAATGCTCAACAAAGTGTCAGCATGTAGTAAGTATTCAACAAACGTCAGTTCTCTTCTACCCTCCTCGATATTGGAGTATGTATCCATTTACAGTATATATCCACTTACTGTTTATTTCCATAAAAAACTGTTCTCTGTAATGCTTACAAAGTGATGGCTAAGTTATGAATTATTCTACTCATCTTTTTCAAATGCCCCTTTTTTTAAAATTGTTTATTTGCTTCATTTTTATTAGGTCTTCGCCAACTATAGTTAGTAACAAAAGAGTCAGTAAGAGAAAATTTATCCCACCAGCCTTCACAAATGTCAGTACAAAATTTGAACTACTCAGCCTAGGAGCAACATTGAAGTTAGCTAGTGAGTTGATTCAGGTACACAAGTTAAACAAGGATCAAGCTACAGCTCTAATTCAAATAGCTCAAATGATGGCATCACATGAAAGCATTGAAGAAGTGAAGGAACTGCAAACTCATACCTTCCCTATCACAATCATACATGGTAAGAAGCAAGAAAGAAAATAATTGTAATTGTTTTCTATTTGTAAGCTTTTGTAACTCAGTCTGCTCCTTTATAATTTCCTAGTCAAATGAGGTTCAAGAATAACTCTAAGTAGACTTTTTAAACCTGTACCCACTTTGGTAAACTGTTAGATGAGAACAGAACTGACTACCCTAAAAGGGAGACTTATTAGCATATCTGATGAATGAGTAGCATTATAAACTTATGGTCAAAGTATCCAGATTGATCTAGATGTTTACATGTTGCTCTCCTATAGTAAACTTAACTTGATCAGCAAAACCTTTTATTTATTCCTAGTCAGCTCACTCTTCTATCCTTTATATCAGTGATTACAAACCTTAATTCTTCTCATAACCTCATTCTTGTCCTTTCTCTTGATCTTGCCTCTAAAAGAGGAAATGGAGGTCATAACAGAAACTGCTTTCAATATCCTGCCTTCCTTCTCCAATTTACCTAATTTTGGAGCTATTCTTACCGCTTGGTTCTGTCACAGTGAAGGCGATTTACTTCCTCCTGCTTACAGTAAATAGTTCTATCTGGACTCTGTTGCCTCTGTAGCACATTTTCTCTCATAGACCTCCACCCCAAAGCTAATCCTACTTTTCTGTCCTATTTTGAGGAATTATGTCATATCCACCCTGTTGACCAAATCAAATCTGAGAGTGATCGTAGATTTTTCTTTCTCTCAAGATTAAGTGACTCTCTCTTAATCCTCCTCATATTCTCTCACTATTCATCTCCCGCCATCAGATTAGTCACTGAGATGTGTTCCTTCTAGCTTCTATCCATCTTTCATATTGAGTGTCTCTTCTCCAGTTTACTTGTATCCCCTCAATCCAAGCCTTCATCATACCTCCATATAGCCTAGTGGGTAAGAGTGTGGGGTCTAGAGTTAGAATCCTGAATTTACGTTCTGACTGTATCATTTGTTAGCTGTATGATTTTGGGCAGGTTATATATCTCTTAATCTTTAATTTCCTACTCTGCAAAATGGAGATCATAATAGCATTCACCTCATAGGGTTGGAGGATTAAATGAGTTAACATACATAAAGGGCTTAGAACAGTGCTTGGCACATGGGAGGTGCTTAGTAAAGTTAACATTTATTGTTGTAATTATCTCACACAACTTTCTAATTGATCTACCACTAGTTTTGCCTTACTTCATATTTTCATTCAAGTTGTTTTTTAAAAACACAATCTGATTAAGTCAAACCCATTGCTTGGCCTCACACCTGTAATCCCAGCACTTTGGGAGGTCAGGGAGGGTAGCTCGCTTAAGCTCAGGAGTTCAAGGTCAGCCTGGGCAACATGGCAAAATGCTGTCTCTACAAAAAAATTTAAAAATTAGCTGGACATGGAGGCATGCACCTGTAGTCCCAGCTACTTTGGAGGTTGTGGTGGGAGGATGGCTTGAGCCTGGGAGGCAGAGGTTGCAGTGAGTCACGATTGCGCCACTGCACTCCAGCCTGGGCAACAGAGCCAGACCCTGTCTCAAAACAAAACAAAACAAAAAAAAACAACCATTGCTTGAAATCTTTAGATGACATCTGCTGGCCTTTAAGATAAAATTCAAACTTTGTTTAGCTATAGCAAACAGAGCTTTTGTGATTTACCCCTGTGCCTACCTTATCAGCCTCATCTCTTGCCTATTTGGTAGAGGTTATATAGAAAAGTTATTTTAACAGCGACATGCTTTGTCATGGCTTTGCCTGGAATGGCCCTATCTCTAAGCAGTCTGGACATCTTATTCTGGAAGTCTTAGTTCTACTTCTTAATTTTAGGAAGTACTCCCACCTCCATCAAAACAGAGATAGATTTTCTTCCTTCTCTGATCCAAGATAATATTACTTACCATCTTATTTCTAATTATTCCTTGTTTATCATTTTAAGTAGGCGCTGGTCTCATTAAAAGTGGAAGTATTTTGGTTATCTATTTATCCCCTGTGCTTTGCACATAGTGAACACTCAATGTATTTTGAAGACATTAATTAATTAAATGGAGGAGGGAGAGATGGATGAAATATTTGTTATACCTATAGAAATTTATGTTTGACCAGGCACAGTGGCTCACGCCTGTAATTCCAGCACTTTGGGAGGCCAAGGCAGGTGGATCACTTGAGTTCAGGAGTTTGAGACCAGCCTGCCAATATGGTGGCTCTACTAAAAATACAAAAATTAGCCAGGTGTGGTGGTGCACGCCGGTAATCCCAGCTACTTGGGAGGCTGAGACAGGAGAATCACTTGAACCTGGGAGGTGGAGGTTACAGTGAGCTGAGATTGTGTCACTGCACTCCAGCCTGGGTGACAGAGTGAGTGAGACTCTGTCTCAAGAAAAAGAAAAGAAAAAAGAAATTTATTTATTTTATGCTTTTTATTTTTTTCTTCTTTTAAAATAATTAGGTGTGTTTGGAGCAGGAAAGAGTTACTTGCTGGCAGTGGTGATTTTGTTCTTTGTACAGCTGTTTGAAAAGAGTGAAGCTCCCACCATTGGAAATGCAAGGCCGTGGAAACTTCTGATTTCTTCTTCTACTAATGTGGCTGTTGACAGAGTACTTCTTGGGTAGGCATGACAAGTGCATTTAAGTAGCTAATGTTTTGGGATATTGTTGAGAGAGGCAACCCACTATGGGCCCTGAGTGTCCATGTACTCTTGCTGGTTATGCCAAGAATGCAAGACCTTTGTCTCTGACCCAGAAGCCAGCATCTATGAAACAGTAATGGGCTAATTAGCTTGTAAGTAGGATAAAATCAAAACCAGAACTGGAAATTTTGGCACAGTGATACTCATGCAAAAATTCAAGTTCAGCCAAGAACATGTAGGGCTAGAGAGGTATTGTTGGGGGAGGCAGTCTGCCAGCGGCCCTGAGCATCCCTGCTGGGATGCTAAGGATGCAAGTCCCTGACCATTCTTACCCAACACATTTCTCACAGTTTGTTTGCAATAAGCAGCTTTGACTGATGAAGT